>NC_000018.10:77249728-77551084 GCF_000001405.40 Homo sapiens | reverse complement strand
GGACCTAAGCTACATTTCCAGTCTAGTTTTACATAATTATCTTTGTTGAGTTCCGTCTCTCTCCCCTTTGTCTATCTCTCGATTGGTTCAGAATTTGGACAGGGATGAGAGTGGGGGAGTGGATTAGCTCCTTCGAGCCTTCACTTCTGGCATCTATCCCAGTAACCTTGGGAGACAAAGAGTGGCCTTTGGGAAACAGAGTTCAATGGCAGCTTTAGGAACAGGGCTTTGCTAAGCCCCTTGACGATGGTGAGGACATCTACTGAGCCATGTGGTTGGGTTCCCATTTGTGAAATCTGGCTTCTAAATTGTGTCGTCTGGGACAGAAGAACATGCCTTGAGTAAGTGTGGGTCCAGTGGGACTGAGACTCAGGGGCCTTGTGTTTACAGCTGCAGAACATTTATTTTTAAAAGAGGTCCTGGGATTTAGTAACAGGTGCAGTCACGGCTAGAATGTGTGTAAAGGGAAATATTAGACTTTCCATATATAGGCCTTACATCATTAGGAAGAATATTTATTTGCTTCTTTTACTGTGTTACTTAGATGGGTCTCCTGGTGGCAAAGACTTAGGTTTTGTAATGTAGTTTGAAACTTTAAATAGCAAAGACCTCTGAGTTCAATATGGGTAGAAAGCACAGGTGAAGTTCTGTCTTTGAAGATTTGGTGCCAGTAGTGTTAGGGCAACTCATTAAATTTTACTCCCCCTTTGAATTTCCTTCAGAGGCCAGGAATGAAACCACAAGGGATTCAGATTGGAATCTGTGAGGCTATCCCAGCGGCTCAAAAGCCAGCCCCAGCATGTTGTTTAAATGAGTTCTGGATATGTTACTTATATGCACTGTGACCATGGATGGCTTTATATTTCTGAAATACAGATTCTACATAACTCTCCTGAAGAAGAACTGTAAATTTTTCTGAAAGTGGCTGGCCTCAGTTGCTCATGCCTGTAATCCCAGCAATTTGGAAGGCCAAGACAGGAGAATCATTTGAGCCCAGAAGTTCAAGACCAGCCTGGGCAACATGGCTAAATCCTGTCTCTACAAAAAAAAAAAAATAGCTAGGTGTGGTGGCATGCACTTGTAGTTTCAGATGCTTAGGAGGCCAAGGTGGGAGGATGGCTAGAATCTGGGAGGTTGAGCTTGGGCAAAAGAGCAAGACCCTGTCACACACACACACACACACACACACACACACACACAATTCTTTTACTGAAAATAGTGACATTAATAGGAAAAGAAAAATGTATGCCAACTTGTTGAGTTATACAGTGTAGTAGATTCCATGATGTCTCCCCAAATTTATTTTATCGAGAACCCCAGAATGTTATTGTATTTGGAAATGGAGCCTATGCAGATATAATTAATTAAGAATCTCAGGGGGAAAAAATCTTATATTCAGGATGGTCTTCAATCCAATGATGGGTGTCCTCATAAGAAGAAGAGAAGACACAGAGAAACAGACATTCAAGGGGAACTCCATGTGAGACACAGGCAGAGACTGGGGTTGTGTGGTCACAGCCAGGAAGGCTGGGTGAGACACAGTCAGAGACTGGGGTTGTCTGCTCACAGCCAGGAACGCTAAGTGAGACACAGGCAGAGACTGGGGTTGTCTGGTCACAGCCAGGAACACTGAGTGAGACACAGGCCGAGACTGGGGTTGCCTGGTCACAGCCAGGAATGCTCAGTGAGACACAGGCAGAGACTGGGGTTGTCTGGTCACAGCCAGGAACGCTGAGTGAGACATAGGCGGAGACTGGGGTTGTCTGGTCACAGCCAGGAACACTGAGTGAGACACAGGCCGAGACTGGGGTTGTCTGGTCACAGCCAGGAATGCTCAGTGAGACACAGGCAGAGACTAGGGTTGTCTGGTCACAGCCAGGAAGGCCGGGTGAGACACGGTTGGAGACTGGGGTTGTCTGGTCACAGCCAGGAACACTGAGTGAGACACAGGCAGAGACTAGGGTTGTCTGGTCACAGCCAGGAAGGCTGGGTGAGACACGGTCAGAGACTGGGGTTGTCTGGTCACAGCCAGGAATGCTGAGTGAGACACAGGCAGAGACTGGGGTCAGGAACGCTGGGTGAGACATGGGTGGAGACTGGGGTTGTGAACTCAGAGCCAAGAACGCTGGGTGACACTGAGGCTGGAAGAGGTGGGGAAGAGTCCCTCCACAGAGGCTTTGGAGAGGTCATGGCCACTGTGACACCTTGATTTTAAACTCTGGCTTCTAGAACTCTAAGAAAATAAATCACTATGGTTTTAAGCCATCAAATTGAAGGCAATTTGTTTTGGCAGATTCACGGTGGAATCTCGGGAGTGGTCTGAAAAATAAGTTTCAATCTCACCAGCAGAACAAGAGCAGGGTGAGAATGAAAAGAAATAAAGAAACATCCTGATTCCAGTAGAAAAAGAGGAGGATTGTTGGAGAGAAAGAATAACCCATTCGAAAACAGCTGCAGAGATATGATGGGGAAATTCAGATCTTTAAGGCCAGAATAAGATGATAGCAAGGGGAAAATGAGGCACGCCTGGGCCCGTTTCTCTCTGTGAAAGTGGCACAGAAGAGGATGCGTTTTCACTGCTGCACAGTGATGGAGGCCCAGAACCTCTGGCAGAATAAGAAGGAACAAACCCAGGGACTAGGCAGCATGACTATCAGAAGGATCTGAGATCCAGGAAAGTACTGATTGGTGAAGCTATTGATTTGTACCTTCTTATGATTGAAAAGGGAAGGTTCTTGGAAAAATCTTGAGGGGCAGGGCTTTCCCAGTGTGATAGCAAGACAAAGTGGATTCACAAGTATGGACAGTTTAGAGGGTTTCACCAGGGAAGTCAGCGGAAAACACTGAAAATGTGACTGGTTGTCAGGAGACCTGGGAAGAGCTAGGATTTTCCCCATCTGCCCCACTTTTCCAGCTACTCATTCCTCAGGTGGCAGTCAACCTCTTCGACGGGTTAAGCACTGACTGGACCTTTGAAATCAGAGTAATAAAACCCTATTAGGTTGCTCCAAAAAACAACTCCATGGAACTGGGTGTTTGTTTCATTCTGCCTATTTTGAGACTGAGGCTAGTGCTGGATGAAGCAGAGACTCTCTGCTCTCTGAGGCACTGAGGACAGGCACGGCTGTTGAGGGGCTGGAGGGAGAATAGCCATCCCAGGAAAGAGGCCAACCTGCAGCTGCTGGAAGAACACGCCTCTCCCAGCCCCAGCTGAGAGCGATAAGAAACAGAGTAATGTTTGCACTTTAATTTCCTCAGACACTCAACTCATAAACTAAGATAATTCCACTTGGAACTTTAACTTTCAAAGGCCCTGACCTTTTTTCCAGGGCTTCTCACCGGGACTTTTGCAATGGGAATTTAGATTCAAAGTTAAGACATTTCATGCTGGAACTTTACTATTGGAGTCAGTGAATGCACTTGTTATTCATATACGTATAAGTTCTTATATAATTTTTGGAGAACCTCTTACGAGCCTTCTTGGGCAATGTTCCGGAACATAATTTGAAACAGGAAAGAGAATAGATGATAGAGTGGCATTTTTTGTGCCTTGGGTACAGCATGGCTTTGCAGTTAAAATGCCATCTTAATCCAGTTCAGTCACCCGAGGACAAAAACTAAACCGGCCCCAGGGGCAGGGGTTGGTGTTGGGGTTGCCACCCCTAGAAGTTCAGAAGCACAAACAGATGGGCAGCACTGGGGGCCACGTGAGTTTCTCATTTCTCTGGTTCCGTGTGGATCCATCTGGAAAGAAACACATGGACCAACACCCTGGGCCTCGCCTTGCTGTGGCTCACTTCGGCCCAGTAAAGCAGAAGTGACTAAAATGGCTGAGTGTGGGAAAGGAGCTTGGTCAGAATGGCTCTGCCACACCCTCGGTCTTCTCCCCAGCTCCTCTTTGCTGGCACAGAAGAGATCATCATCCTCCTGCCACATCCACTACCCACAGAGAGGAGACGCCACCCCATGAAGACCAGCCTGCGGTTTGGGTGATTAGATTCCCTCCGCAGTTATATTAGGAAGGCCACTGGCTGTTGTGAAGCCACGTATTTCAACCGATGCTTATCAGAAATAAAAGGCACGTTGTGGTTCCCATCAGCACAACTCCTTTCCCTGTGGCTGAACTGGCTCAGAACTCAGGCAGAGAAAAATGAGGGAGTTAAGGAAAACCTCCGTCCACCCTAAGGAACAGTCAGTAGAAGAAACAGAAGAGGGAGGGGCGGCGAGTGGAGAGAAGCCTGTGGTGTTCCATGACCCGCATGAAGAAGGAGGGTATGCGTTAGGGTTAGGGTGTTAATTAGCTGAGCTAAGAGCCACCACGGACTCTCAACGTGGATCACAGGTGGCATCCGGATGCTTGGGTTGGGCGGCCTGGCTGCAGTTGATGAGAAAATAGAAAGCAGAGAAAAAGAGAGGCAATCAGTACAGGCAGTTCATTCAGTGAGTTTACTGTGGGCATATTAGGGCATATTTTTATGTGGTAGTAACAATCGAGAGAGGAAAAGGGAGGCCTGGTACAGTGGCTCACGCCTGTAATCCCAGCACTTTGGGAAGGCAAAGCTGGTGGATCACTTGAGGTCAGGAGTTCAAGACCAGCCTGGCCAACATGATGAAACCCCATCTCTAATAAAAATACAAAAATTAGCTGGGCGTGGTGGCAGGCACCTATAATCCCAGCTGCTCGGGAGGCTGAGGCAGGAGAATTGCCTGAACCTGGGAGGCAGAGGTTGCAGTGAGCCGAGATCACCCCATTGCACTCCAGCCTGGGCAACAGAGAAAGATACAGTGTCAAAAAAAAAAAAAAAAAAAGCAAAAGGGAAAAAGGATCATGTAATCATGAAGGAGAAGGGACATAGTTGTGCAGTAACATCCTTGAATTGGCAAGTGGAAAAATGGAGAGGCTGGTTTCAGATGGGAGGCTGGCTTCAGATGGGGCAGGAATATGTCTCTTCTGGGCACATGTGAAAAAGTAGAGAATCTGGGAGCAGATGCAGACAGGCCAATAAAGCTGGCATTGGGAACTTGGAGAAGTTCTCCTTTAGGAAGCCTGAAACACTTTCTTCCTGCAGGAGTGATGTAGGGGTTCACATAGTCCTAAGGTGTTCCATCTGAAGTACTCAAGGATCAATTGATTAGCAGAGGCTTGCCAGGTAAAAAATATGGGAAGTAGTTTAGGTAGACAAACAGTGTTCAGAGTTGGTAAGTGGCACTTAAGAAATAATCTCCCAAAGTCCATTGTGTGGAGTGGTTCTGATATGCAATACTAACAAATGTCACAGCAATATATATATATATTAAAATAAATATAAAATATATATTTTATATATATTATAAATATAAAATATATATTTTACATATATTATAAATATAAAATATATTTTACATATATTATAAATATAAAATATATATATATTTTATATATAATAACTATAAAATATATATATTATATATATTATAAATATAAAATATATATTATATATATATTTTATATATTATAAATATAAAATATATATTATATATATATTATATATATTATAAATATAAAATATATATTATATATATATTATATATATTATAAATATAAAATATATATATTATATAATATATATATTAGCCATGGAGGAGGCAGGTGTATTGAGATGAATATATGTATTTTATCATATCTATATATATGAGAAACAGTTAAGCAACTTTAAGAGGCCACTGACTCTGGGCATTAATAGGTTTGATGACTGTGAAAGAGGAGATGCTGTGTTTCTCAAAATCAGTAGGTTCTAGAAGCCCTTATTCACCAACTGGAGAATGCTCTATTCAGCACATTTGAGGAGACAAACGATAAGGTTGCTCAAGGGACACTGATTCGGGTGATGATGGAGATGTAAATTCAGATTCTGAAGGGCCTTTTGGAGAGGAGTGTACTGGGATTAGCCACGGAGGAGGCAGGTGTATTGAGATGAACTCCTGCATCCTCACAAGAACCCACAGAGGCCCCCACGGACTGGCTGGCTTCCTGCGTTGTGGACAGGCCCAGCCACTTTCCAAGGATTTAATTTCCCTGACAATGAACCGGGAGCTATGCCTTGGACTAGCACTCTGGACCACTCAAGGGTACTCGGTCACAGCACTTCACCTCCTTGAAAGCATGAGAGCTACACTCATGAAGGTGAGTCCTTTGAATGAAGAACCAAGTACTCTCAGTTCTTCCTAAAAGGAAACATGGTGCCATCAATTTCCAGTGACCACACTACCCGTTAACTGGCCCACAGATCTTTGTTGAAATCTATGTACTTGTGATCAAGATGCAAATAAAGCATTACTTTAAATGCCCCTAACTCCTGGGCTCAAAGATCCTCCCACCTTAGCCTCCCAAAATGCTGTAATTACAGGTCTGTGCCACTGCATCTGGGCATCTGATATTTTCTTTATAGAGATCTACATTCAAAATGAATGTGGTGGACAGAAAAATAAAGTGCCAAAAGATGTCCACATCATAATGCCTGAAAACTGTGGATGCATTACTTTACCCAGCAAAGGAGGTAACTTAAGGTTGCCGATGCCATTCACTGATCAGCTGACCATAAAATAGGGATGGTATCTTGGATTATCCAAGTGGCACCAAGGAAACCATCGCAAGCCTTTAAAAGTGGAAGAGCAAGTCAGAATAGGAGGTCGGAGTGATGCAATGTGAGAAAGACTCAACCAGCTATAACTGGCTTTGAAGATGGGAAGGGACCAGAACCTCTATATGCTGAAAAATTAGAGGAACTGATTCTCTTCTAGAGCTTCTAGAATTGAACACAGACCTGCTGCCATCTTAATTTTAGCCCAGTGAGTCCCATGTCAGATTTTTAACCTCTAGCACCATAGAATCATAAGTTGGTGTTGTTTTAAGCCATGGAATTTGTGGTAGTTTGTCCCAGCAGCAATCTAAAACCCATATAATGATTTGTCACCCTATGAGTGTTTTATTTTCCTTTATACCCAAAGGCATATTGTTTCCTTTGACAACCATAAAACCTGCCTGCTTTTTAATCTTTCTCCTTGATTTATTTGTGAAGTAAAACAGAGTTGTATTATGAGAAATGCTGATGAAATTCTCCTCAAGTTCAGTATTTTGAGGAAATTATTTAGTCTTAAGAATATTTCAACTCTGATTTACCTTATTCTCTCACTGTTCTTCAGCAGACCTGCTTTGAAACTCCTGGCACTGAAAGTTAAATGTGTAAAGTAAATCAGTTCCCATCAGTCATTACTAATGAACATTTCTTTTTTTTTTTTTTTTTTTTTTTTTTTTTTTTGAGACGGAGTCTCGCTCTGTCGCCCAGGCTGGAGTGCAGTGGCGGGATCTCGGCTCACTGCAAGCTCCGCCTCCCGGGTTCATGCCATTCTCCTGCCTCAGCCTCCCAAGTAGCTGGGACTACAGGTGCCCACCACCACGCCCGGCTAATTTTTTGTATTTTTAGTAGAGACGAGGTTTCACCGTTTTAGCCGGGATGGTCTCGATCTCCTGACCTCGTGATCCGCCCGCCTCGGCCTCCCAAAGTGCTGGGATTACAGGCGTGAGCCACCGCACCCGGCCACTAATGAACATTTCTTATAAGCCCAAGCCCCCAGAAAAAAAAAATGGCTTAAGAAATCTACAGCTTACATTGGGAAGACAGAATTATCATAAATGAAACTGTTAGGAAACAAGTGTTAAAACACACGTAGACTAAAAATATAATATGAGGGAAAGAGTTATAACTTCAGAAATCCTCATTAAAAATATTGTACTTGAGGGACCTCAATGATGGCTAAGAATGCAGTTGATATACAAGTAAATAATTGCTGTCATTTGTTAAGAACTCTTGAAAAATTTGCCAAGCTAAGGACTGAAATTATTACAAAAATCGCAATCCTCCAAACTCTTACCAATTGACATTTTGCTGTAGAGCTTTCCTTAAAGTTTTAAGTATTAATTTTTCAGTGCAAATCTATTTTAAAATGAGATGAAATATACATAAACTTTTGAAATACATGGAAGGGAAGATATCCAACTTCTAGTACAACTCACTTCTGGAATAAATTCTCCAGGTGACTTCAAACTCTAGTATCCATAGGCCAGTTACTGGGGCCAAGCACCATATTACCCTATAAATTAGTGATATAACACAGCCGTCTCTTTCTTTTTAATTTTAAATACTTTTTCTGTTGCTCATAGATTCTAGGGGTCAGGAATTTGATCAGAGTATAGTGAAGATAACCCGATTCTATTCCTCAAATCCTGGGGCTTCAACTCAAAGACAAATTTCCGGAGTCTGGAATCGTCTAAAGGTTTGCCCACTACACTGGATGGAGCCTCCAGCCTCTCAGATTCTCTCCACTGGGCCCCTCCAGAGGGCTACCTAGGGAGCTAGTTCAAGCTTTCTCATAATTTGGATGCTGGGATTGACAGGACAGGGACTATAGACCCTAGTAGTGGGAAGAATGTTAAGTCAGAGTAGAAGAAAAACATACGTGCGAGAGATGTATCTGTCTGCACTCTGCTGTGTGTGTATGTCTCTCTCTCTCTCTCTCTGTCTGTGTGTGTGTCTGTGTTATTCTCCAACTATGGAAACCATAATCTACTAAGAAACCAAGGAGGTTGGCTTTCAGCCCCCTGGCGATGGAATAAACATAACCTTACATGAAAGGTATTAATGATTAAGGATATAGATCACTTAGATTTTTTAATTGACTGGCTTGGATTTCTTTTCAGCTCAGGAAAGCCATGACTCCTACAGAAAAAGTTCTTGGACCTAAAATATTGTTGGCATTTTCACATATTCATCTCTAGGATAAAAAGTCCACTCCATGGTAACAAATTACTTTTTTTTATTTTTACTGTTATTTTATTTTATTTATTTATTTTTTTGAGATGGAGTCTCACTCTGTCACCTAGGTTGGAGTGTAGTGGCGTGATCTCGGCTCACTGCAACCTTTGCCTCCCAGGCTCAAGCAATTCTCCTGCCTCAGCCTCCTGAGTAGCTGGGATTACATGCACGTGCCACCATGCCTGGCTAATTTTTGTAGTTTTAGAAGAGACAGGGTTTCATCATATTGGCCAGGCTGGTCTCGAACTCCTGACCTCAAGTGATCTGCCCGCCTCGGCCTCCCAAAGTGCTGGTATTACAGGTGTGAACCACCGCACCTGGCCACACATCACATTTCTAACTGAAGGCTATGTCAATGTGAATACATTTTCACCTTACAGTGGACCACTCTGTCATCACCAGGAATGAGAAATCAGGAAGTCTTCTTGAGTCTTCCAGTTATATCAATAGCATTGTTTTGAGGATGGATCCAGTTTTGTTATTATGAAGATTTCTAAAAGGAACCAATGATATTATACCAAACAGATCCCACATTCTAGGATGTAACATCAAAACATATAGTTACAAATGAGACATTACAGAGACTAGAAGAGAGAAGTTTTTCTCAGTAAAGTTAGTGCAACACTAAATTATTAGGGCATTTCATATGAATCAAAAGTAGAAATAGAATTGGAATCAGGCCAGTTGATAAAAAATTAACCCGAACTGTCATTTTATTTGCAAATTTAGTATTATTTAATTCATCATAAAATAGCATTGTATGAACATTAAATCCGAGGGATCCGAAATACCACAGCAGACTGACATTTTGCTCATATTATGAAAAGAAGCACTAGAGAAAACCGGGCTGTTAATGGGCTTTGGGGCATCTCCAAAGGGACACGATAGCAATTATGTGAACAAAGAGGTAATGCCCACCATTAAAATGTACTTTCAGAAAGTTACTGAAATCTATGAACTGACTAAATTCCATCTGATTTTCATCTGTTTCAGTGAAAGGCAGGATTATTACAAAGCAAAAGATAAAGAGTAATTTTGACCTCACAGAATATCCCAGTTATTTAACCTGAGTTTTTACAGACCTGTTCTGATGTGGCTTTTCTTAGCATGAAAGGAAGGCTATTTGTAAAGAAAAAGGAAGGAAGAAGTAAGTCACTGAATTCCGTAATGAGGCTAGAGAGCAACGCTAATCACAACGAGACAGCTGAGACTTTCACCACACCATGGCTAGGTGGAGATTGACAAGAAATTATAAAAAATCTTATTCATATTTTAATAACTTCCTGCTTCAGAAACGTTTGTAAAGAATCAGGAGTCGGCCAGGCACAGTGGCTCATGCCTGTAATCCCAGCACTTTGGGAGGCCAAGGCGGAAGGATCACCTAAGGTCAGGAGTTCAAGACCAGCCTGGCCAACATGGTGAAACCACATCTCTACTAAAAATACAAAATGAAGCCAGGCATGGTGCTGCACATCTGTAGTCCCAGCTACTCGGGAGGCTGAGGCAGGAGAATCACTTGAACCCGGGAGTCAGAGGTTGCAGTGAGCCAAGATGGTGCCACTGCACTCCAGCCTGGGCAACAGAGCAAGACACTGTCTCTAAAACAACAAAAATGAATCAAGAGTCAGAAGACAAGGCTCACTTTGGTTGTATTTTACCCCTTTCAGGAGTAAACCTCTGGTCTATTTTTAAATTTGCTTCTGTATTTTCACTTCTGATAACAGCACTTTAAATTTGTATATTGAGTAGAGTGAACAAGTTGCTTTCTCTCTCACCTGATTGTTATGAAGTTCAAGAACGAAGCTTGAGAAAGAAAACCTAACTCAGGCCAGTCTTTCTTTGCAGTAAGGGGCAAAACTCAGACTTGGACACTGGGCTTCTGGATTGGGGCGGTGGTAGTCCTGCTGCACCACTGCCCTCAGAGCCCTGTGTCAACGCTAGCACCCCATCAACTCACACACGAGCCTGAGGAACAGGGATGCGCTGGTGCCATGGAGGATGCAGAGACACAGAACAAGGGCTTCACCTTGAAGGAGGATTGAGACAATGGGAAGGTTACAGAACTAATTAATTAATCCATTGAATAATTACCGACAATCGACTGTGTCAGGAAATATTCTAGACTCCAGGATACAAGAAAGACTAGGTCCCTCATGTCATCTGGAGAGACAGAAGACAACACACAGTGGCAGATGATGTCATCACCGCGTTGGTAAGATGGGTTCAGATACTGACCAGCCTCCTGTGGCTGTGAGTGGGAGACTGGGAGGTTGTTCCTCAGGAAAAAACTAACCTGACAATGAGCCAGTGGCAGGAGGAGAAAGCAGAGAGGGCAGGGAGCCTTGGGGAGGATGGGAGAAGCGGGGGCTTTTAGAATGGATGGAATTTCCAGGAGGTTTTGAAGAAAGCATTCAATTTGCTTAATTGGAGGGGGTTAGGAAAACTGTAACAAACAACACAACCTCCCTCTGAAGTGTGGGTGTTTTTTGGCTACAGCGAGTTGTAGAGAATGCTTCTTTAGAGACAGAGACATGGCGAGCATGGAATAGAGGATGTCTTTATCTAGAAATAAAAGAAGAGAGGGAGAATTTCTTTCATCACTGGGAAGAAAATTGCATCATTCCAGAACAATCGGAGGAGGTCATAATCAAAATGGTAACTCGTGGGACAGATGATTCCTCTTTTAACCCACATAACCCCTTTGAGATGAATAGAACCATAGTTGGTGGGACGAACTTGAAGTTTTACTTGGGCCAACATTTTAAAGTTATATAGTCTTCCTCTAAAATTTACCATCTTATCATTTTTAGAAACTTATGATCACACCATTGGCATTCATCTATGCTATGACAAATTTCAGCTCTTTACTTTAACAGTGGGCAATTCAGTTTATCATTGAGTCGCTTGCATCTAATTTACATTAAATTGATATTTTCTCTCAATTTGTAGAAAAAGGACACTGGCCTTGAAGTTGTAAACTCTGAGTTCAAATCTTGGTTCCACAATTAGTTATATATCAAAGCCTATCTAATGCCAGTTTTCTTACACTGGAAATGGGGCTAGTGATGTCTGACTGGCCTGTCTGATGAGGCTTTTGTAAACATAAAACATGAGAAAATACTTTTTGAAACAGCAAAGGTCTGTAAGGGTCTATAAAGCCAAAGCTTTCTAACCTCTAATAATTACCATATTAAAATCTTATTTATTCTTTTCTTTTGAGTACTATTTCCAGATGCTTGTAGAGAGCTATCAGGAAATAAGCAGCACGAAACCACACAGGATAAAAAGAAGACAAAATCCTAGTGCTGTTTAAGAGTAAAAGTTACTCCTAACTTTTAAGTAGAAATAAGAGGCCTTGAAAACATGAATATACACAAATGTCATGTTTCTAAGTACTTAGAAGAAGCTTGACTAATTGGCATAAATATTAACCAAGACTTTTAAAAAATTAATGTAGAACTCTTCCTTTTCTTTCCACTTTGCTTCTCTGCAGTGGCTTACATGTGTAAATGGAGGGAATGCTAAAGCCTACATGTCGGGCCTTAGTATCACGATTGGTATCTTTCGGCTGCTAAATCTGCTATCTTGTTTAGAACCATGAAAACACTGAATGCCCATCTATGTTTTTGTAGCTATAAATACACACTTTTATTAGTATAGTTAACTACCAAGTTATAAAAATGTAAAATATGGGATTGACCACTGTACAGTCTCTCTAAAGAGAAAACAACTGAGTAATAATAATAATAACAAAGATCTTAAAATTGATGCCCTACGATTGTGTTCAAATGAATGTAAAGGTTTTGGAAAAGGTTTCATGGAATTATTAAGTTATCATTATTTTGTTGAAAGTCAACTCAAAGTTAGAGAAGTTAAAAATGATCCCACAGACCTCAGGCAAATTAACAATAGAGTCATGAAGAAATCAGAGTGGGGGGCAGTTCCAAGATGGCCAAATAGGAACAGCTCCAGTCTATAGCTCCCAGCATGAGCGGCGCAGAAGACAGGTGATTTCTGCATTTCCAACTGAGGTACTGGGTTCATCTCACTGGGGCTTGTCAGATAGTGGGTGCAGGACAGTGGGTGCAGCGCACTGAGCATAAGCCGAAGCAGGGCGAGGCATCTCCTCACCAGGGAAGCACAAGGGGTCAGGGAATTCCCTTTCATAGCCAAGCAAAGCTGTGACAGACGGCAACTGGAAAATCGGGTCACTCCCACCCTAATACTGCGCTTTTCCAAGGGTCTTAGCAAACGGCACACCAGGAGATTATATCCTGCACCTGGCTCAGAGGGTCCCACACCCACAGAGCCTCGCTCATTGCTAGCACAGCAGTCTGAGATCAAACTGCAAGGCAGCAGCAAGGCTGGGGGAGGGGTGTGTGCCATTGCTGAGGCTTGAGTAGATAAACAAAGCAGCCAGGAAGCTTGAACTGGGTGGAGCACATCGCAGCTCAAGGAGGCCTGCCTGCCTCTGTAGACTCCACCTCTGGGGGCAGGGCATAGCCAAACAAATGGCAGCAGAAACCTCTGCAGACTTAAATGTCACTGTCTGACAGCTTTGAAGAGAGTAGTGGTTCTCCCAGCATGGAGTTTGAGATCTGAGAATGGACAGACTGCCCCCTCAAGTGGGTCCCTGACCCCCGAGTAGCCTAACTGGGAGACACCCCCCAGTAGGGGCAGACTGACACCTCACACGGCCGGGTAACCCTCTGAGATGAAGCTTCCAGAGGAACAATCAGGCAGCAACATTGCTGTTCAGCAATATTCGCTGTTCTGCAGGCTCCGCTGGTGATACCCAGGCAAATAGGGTCTGGAGCGGACCTCCAGCAAACTCCAACAGACCTGCAGCTGAGGGTCCTGACTGTTAGAAGGAAAACTAACACACAGAAAGGACATCCACACCAAAAACCCATCTGTACGTCACCATCATCAAAGACCAAAGGTAGATGATGGGGAACCACAAAGATGGGGAAAAAACAGAGCAGAAGAACGGAAAATTCTAAAAATCAGAGAGCCTCTCCTCCTAAAAAGGAACGCAGCTCCTCACCAGCAATGGAACAAAGCTGGATGGAGAATGACTCTGACGAGCTGAGAGAAGAAGGCTTCAGATGATCAAACTTCTCCGAGCTAAAGGATGACGTTCGAACCCATCACAAAGAAGTTAAAAACCTTGAAAAAAGATTAGATGAATGGCTAACTAGAATAACCAATGTAGAGAAGTCCTTAAATGACCTGATGGAGCTGAAAACCATGGCACGAGAAATACTTGATGAATGCACAAGCTTCAGTAGCCTATTTGATCAACTGGAAGAAAGGGTATCAGTGAGTGAAGATCAAATTAATGAAATAAAGTGAGAAGAGAAGTTTAGAGAAAAAAGAATAAAAAGAAATCAACGAAGCCTCCAAGAAATATGGGACTATGTGAAAAGACCAAATCTATGTCTGATTGGTGTACCTGAAAGTGACAGGAAGAATGGAACCAAGTTGGAAAACACTCTACAGGATATTATCCAGGAGAACTTCCCCAACCTAGCAAGGCAGGCCAACATTCAAATTCAGGAAATACAGAGAACACCACAAAGATACTCCTCGAGAAGAGCAACTCCAAGACACGTAATTGTCAGATTCACCAAAGTTGAAATGGAGGAAAAAATGTTAAGGGCAGCCAGAGAGAAAAGTCGGGTTACCCACAAAGGGAAGCCCAACAGACTAACAGCGGATCTCTCAGTAGAAACCCTACAAGCCAAAAGAGAGTGGGGGCCAATATTCAACATTCTTAAAGAAAAGAATTTTCAACCCAAAATTTCATATCCAGCCAAACTAAGCTTCATAAGTGAAGGGGAAATAAAATCCTTTACAGACAAGCAAATGCTGAGAGATTTTGTCACCACCAGGCCTGCCCTACAAGAGCTCCTGAAGGAAGCACTGAACATGGAAAGGAACAACCGGTACCAGCCACTGAAAAAACAGGCCAAATTGTAAAGACCACTGAGGCTAGGAAGAAACTGCATCAACTAACGAGCAAAATAACCAGCTAATATCATAATGACAGGATCAAATTCACACATAACAATATTAACCTTAAATGTAAATGGACTAAATGCTCCCATTAAAAGACACAGACTGGCAAATTGGGTAAACAGTCAAGACCCATCAGTGTGCTGTATTCAGGAAACCCATCTGACATGCAGAGACACACATAGGCTCAAAATAAAGGGATGGAGGAAGATCTACCAAGCAAATGGAAAACAAAGAAAGGCAGGGGTTGCAATCCCAGTGTCTGATAAAACAGACTTTAAACCAGCAAAGATCAAAAGAGACAAAGAAGGCCATTACATAATGGTAAAGGGATCAATTCAACAAGAAGCGCTAACTATCCTAAATATATATGCACCCAATACAGGAGCACCCAGATTCATAAAGCAAGTCCTTAGAGACCTACAAAGAGACTTAGACTCCCACACAATAATAATGGGAGACTTTAACACCCCACTGTCAACATCGGACAGATCAATGAGACAGAAAGTTAACAAGGATATCCAGGAATTGTACTCAGCACTGCACCAAGCAGACCTAATAGACATCTACAGAACTCTCCACCCCAAATCAACAGAATATACATTCTTCTCAGCACCACATAGCACTTATTCCAAAATTGACCACATAGTTGGAAGTAAAGCACTCCTCAGCAAATGTAAAACAACAGAAACGATAACAAACTGTCTCTCAGACTACAGTGCAATCAAACTAGAACTCAGGATTAAGAAACTCATTCAAAACCGCTCAACTACATGGAAACTGAACAACCTGCTCCTGAATGACTACTGGGTACAGAACGAAATGAAGGCAGAAATAAAGATGTTCTTTGAAACCAACGAGAACAAAGACACAACATACCAGAATCTCTGGGACACATTTAAAGCAGTGTGTAGAGGGAAATTTATAGCACTAAATGCCCACAAGAGAAAGCAGGAAAGATCTAAAATTGACACCATAACATGACAATTAAAAGAACTAGAGAAGCAAGAGCAAACACATTCAAAAGCTGGCAGAAGGCAAGAAAGAACTAAGATCAGAGCAGAACTGAAGGAGATAGAGATGCAAAAAACCCTTAAAAAAATCAATGAATCCAGGAGCTGGTTTTTTGAAAAGATCAACAAAATCGATAGACCGCTAGGAAGGCTAATAAAGAAGAAAAGAGAGAAGAATCAAATAGACGCAATAAAAAATGATAAAGGGGATATCACCACTGATCCCACAGAAATACAAACTACCATCAGAGAATACTATAAACACCTCTACGCAAATAAACTAGGAAATCTAGAAGAAATGGATAAATTCCTGGACACATACACTCTCCCAAGACTAAACCAGGAAGAAGTTGAATCTCTGAATAGACCAATAACAGGCTCTGAAATTGAGGCAATAATTAATAGCTTACCAACCAAAAAAAGTCCAGGACCAGACAGATTCACAGCAGAATTCTACCAGAGGTACAAGAAGAGCTGGTACCATTCCTTCTGAAACTATTCCAATCAACAGAAAAAGAGGGAATCCTCCCTAACTCATTTTATGAGGCCAGCATCATCCTGATACCAAAGCCTGGCAGAGACACAACAAAGAAAGAGAATTTTAGACCAATATCCCTGACAAACATCAATGTGAAAATCCTCAGTTAAATACTGGCAAACCGAATCCAGCAGCACATCAAAAAGCTTATCCACCATGATCAAGTGGGCTTCATCCCTGGGATGCAAGGCTGGTTCAACATATGCAAATCGATAAATGTAATCCAGCATACAAACAGAACCAAAGACAAAAACCACATGATTATCTCAATAGATGCAGAAAAGGCCTTTGACAAAATTCAGTAGCCCTTCATGCTAAAAACTCTCAATAAATTAGGTATTGATGGGACCTATCTCAAAATAATAAGAGCTATCTATGACAAACCCACAGCCAATATCATACTGAATGGGCAAAAACTGGAAGCATTCCCTTTGAAAACTGGCACAAGACAGGGATGCCCTCTCTCACCACTCCTATTCAACATAGTGTTGGAAGTTCTGGCCAGGGCAATTAGGCAGAAGAAAGAAATAAAGGGTATTCAATTAGGAAAAGAGGAAGTCAAATTGCCCCTGTTTGCAGATGACATGATTGTATATCTAGAAAACCCCATCGTCTCATCCCAAAATCTCCTTAAGCTCATAAGCAACTTCAGCAAAGTCTCAGGATACAAAATCAATGTGCAAAAATCACAAGCATTCTTATACACCAATAACAGACAAACAGAGAGCCAAATCATGAGTGAACTCCCATTCACAATTGCTTCAAAGAGAATAAAATACCTAGGAATCCAACTTACAAGGGATGTGAAGGACCTGTTCAAGGAGAACTACAAACCACTGCTCAACAAAATAAAAGAGGATACAAACAAATGGAAGAACATTCCAAGCTCGTGGATAGGAAAAATCAGTATTGTGAAAATGGCCATACTGCCCAAGGTAATTTATAGATTCAATGCCATCCCCATCAAGCTACCACTGACTTTCTTCACAGAATTGGAAAAAACTACTTTAAAGTTCATATGGAACCAAAAAAGAACCCACATTGCCAAGTCAATCCTAAGCCAAAAGAACAAAGCTGGAGGCATCATGCTACCTGACTTCAAACTATACTACAAGGCTACAGTAACCAAAACAGCATGGTACTGGTACCAAAACAGAGATATAGACCAGTGGAACAGAACAGAGCCCTCAGAAATAATACCACACATCTACAACTATCTGATCTTTGACAAACCTGACCAAAATAAGAAATGTGGAAAGGATTCCCTGTTTAACAAATGGTGCTGGGAAAACTGGCTAGCCATATGTAGAAAGCTGAAACTGGATCCCTTTCTTACACCTTATACAAAAATTAATTCAAGATGGATTTAAGATTTAAATGTTAGACCTAAAACCATAAAAACCCTAGAAGAAAACCTAGGCAGTACCATTCAGGACATAGGCATGGGCAAGGACTTCATGTCTAAAACACCAAAAGCAATGGCAACAAAAGCCAAAATAGACAAATGGGATCTAATTAAACTAAAGAGCTTCTGAACAGCAAAAGAAACTACCATCAGAGTGAACAGGCAACCTACAGAATGGGAGAAAATTTTTGCAATCTACTCATCTGACAAAGGGCTAATATCCAGAACCTACAAAGAACTCAAACAAATTTACAAGAAAAAAACAGACAACCCCATCAAAAAGTGGGTGAAGAATATGAACAGACACTTCTCAAAAGAAGACATTTATGCAGCCAACAGACACATGAAAAAATGCTCATCATCACTGGCCATCAGAGAAATGCAAATCAAAACCATAATGAGATACCATCTCACACCAGTTAGAATGGCGATCATTAAAAAGTCAGGAAACAACAGGTGCTGGAGAGGATGTGGAAAAACAGGAACACTTTTACACTGTTGGTGGGACTGTAAACTAGTTCAACCATTGTGGAAGACAGTGTGGCGATTTCTCAAGGATCTAGAACTAGAAATACCATTTGACCCAGCCATCCCATTACTGGGTATATATACCAAAAGGATTATAAATCATGCTGCTCTAAAGACACATGCACACGTATGTTTATTGCGGCACTATTCACAATAGCAAAAACTTGGAACCAACCCACATGTCCATCAATGAGAGACTGCATTAAGAAAATGTGGCACATATACACCATGGAATACTATGCAGCCATAAAAAACGATGAGTTCATGTCCTTTGTAGGGACATGGATGAAGCTGGAAACCATCATTCTCAGCAAACTATCTCAAGGACAAAAAAACAAACACCACACGTTCTCACTTATAGGTGGGAATTGAACAATGAGAACACCTGGACACAGGAAGGGGAACAGCACACACCGGGGCCTGTTGTGGGGTCGGGGAATGGGGGAGGGATAGCGTCAGGAGATATACCTAATGTAAATGACGAGTTACTGGGTGCAGCACACCAACATGGCACACGTATACATATGTAACAAAACTGCACGTTATGCACATGTACCCTAGAACTTAAAGTATAATAAAAATAAATAAATAAAAGAAGAAGGGTCTGCTTTGCCAACACTAACTGTAGTTTAAAGCTTCAAATTTACACTGGTGTTAGTCTAAAAATAGGCAGATTTGTGGAACAGAACAGAAAGCTAAGAAACATATTGTAAATTTTAAAATATATATAACTCCAGTATATGGCAAAGGTGACATTTCAAATTAATGAGAAAAGGGTTCATAATTCAATGTTATTTCCGAATAATGTATTATTTAATACATATCTCCCTGTTTTACATTAGATACCAAAATGAATTTTTGATGTATTAACAACTAGATGTAAAAATATGAAACTATTAAAAATATATAAAAATATTAAAGCCTCTGAGTGAAGTGCATTTTTGTTATTGGTATAAGAAATAACATGAACAAAAAAAGGAAACTCTTCAATTATTTTCCTAAATTATAAACCATGTTTTATTTCCCTTTTCTATGCATAATTTCATAATGAAAACCTCACGTATGTTAATTCTAGTGTTGCTTCTACCAGAAGAGCTACATGGCTTTGGTTAGCACCTTAAAATATCCAAATTCAAATATTTTAATTGCTAACATGGTTATAAAAGTATTTCAACTGTCTCTGAGTCTTAGACTTTTTTATCTCTAAGGAAAAAGATAAGAAAAAAAAAGTGAATTGGGAGTAATGCTTACTGTCTGGGAAAATTCCTTAAGAAGTTTCCAATTATTGTCTTGCCCAGAGGTAAGGAAAAGTGTAGAAAAGTGAGTCAGTTTTTAAATTCCAAATCTTATGGGAAAACAAAGAGCGAAGAATCACATTAGCTAGTCAGCAAGACAACAGCAATCGTGTGAAAAATTCTTTGAATACTAAACTTTGTTTCCTTAACTGAAATACATCAATTGAGCAGAAATTATTATGCTCAGCAATTACAAATAACTTGAATGAGTTTTAGAAGTAAAATAAATCAACACGGAGCCTTTCAACGTTTCCTGGAATGGTCTCCTGAAGACGGGTCGGGGGGTCCATGGTGCCCGGGAGAACTCAGAGAAGATCGAGCCCTGGTCTGAGGTGGAAGCTGGGGCGGTTGCACACCCACTGGAGAGGTGACCCTGAGACACTGCCCCAAGCCTCGAGTTTTCATCCACAGTCAGGGAGTCATCTCAGAGGGACCATGCGTGTGACAGCTGGTCTAGCCACTTCCATGCAGCGGGCATGCCTGGACGGACATCACCTTCCCCTGGAGGAGGCCTGGCCTGGGACGGCTGGGAAGAGTGAGTGGAGTTGGAGCAACGCTGGCTCCACAGCCTCCTGCCCCTCCTTCTTTTCCCAGGACACCAATAAACCTATTTTCCTTCTTCTTAATATTGTGTGTTAAGTGCTTAAGTCAATCCTTCCACAAGGCGAGACAAGAAAGATTTAGATAAGCCTTTTTGCTTTAATTCAAGGTAACAGCTAGAGTCATCAAAGAGAAATCAATAGCAACAGGGTGCCCAGGAAATGGGGATTTTTACGGATTCTAAGCAGTGTGAAGTTGTGAGTGAAGACAAACCTGGAAGCTTGACTCAAGGCTGCAGGACATAGAGTGCAACAAAGATTTGATTGTAAAGAAGCTAAAGATCAAGTTTCCTCCAGCTGCACACCTCAGACCAGAGAGGCATGCTCTTGTTTCACATTGAAGACAGAGGGATTCCAATGAATGGTGAAAAATTCAGCCAGTCATGGGGCATTTTCCTTAAGCACTACGGAAAATGTATTCATTTGGAAAACACAATTCTAGATTTTTCAGACGTTCAGGATCGTGAAGACAGGAATAACTATCACAAGACATTTCAATATGTGGGTTTTCAATATTCTTACCAATCACATGCAATTCAAAATTAGAAAGAAGCTCATGGAAGTAGGTTGTAATCTAAGAATTTCTCAGGGAATGGGAAGATTCTTATAAACTCACCTATTTAGGTTCATGCTTCTTGCACATGGGCATACCTTCGTGGTTTGGTCAAACTATTGTTTATCAACAAGGAGTCTCAAATTGAAAAGAGGGAGGCAAACATAAACACTGTCTGTAAATACCAGAAGTCGTCACCAAAAGCAAAGCTTCTGTTACAGCTAATGTCAGACCTATGCAGTGCTAATTGGAGATGGAGCTATAACTTAATAACTAAGACAGGCTTTCAGCACGGATTCCATGGCAACAAAGTCATACCTAGAAACCAGGCTTTACTTCCTTAGTGATAAGTGAATAAAATATGTTTTATTTTTATGGCATGGTCAGTTTAGTAGAGGAAGTCACATTGCTTTTACAAGAGAAAAGGAATTATATCTGAGGGGGAAGCTCTAATATATAATCTGCTTTCATACTAACACAATTAGAAGTGTACACGGTTCGCCTGCTGGAGTTATCAAATAGGCAGTGGCTCTTGCTAGGATCAGTTGCATCAACACATTTAGACATCACTCTTTACAGCATTTCTGCCACTGAAGTATGTGGAAATTCAATACAGTAATAATACGCATGTTCTTAGCATTATGACAATACCTAACGCTTGTGGGGCTTGAAACCTAAATGACGAGTTGACAGGTGCAGCAAACCACCATGGCTCATGTATACCTATGTAGCAAACCTGCATGTTCAGCAAATGTATCCCAGAACTTAAAGTAAAAGAAAAAAAAAAGAAAAAAATAATAATATGCACATTCTTATTTCTCATTCTCTGGAGGCTACTAAAATGCCTACCTAAATTTCAAAAAGCCTCAACACTTCAGTAAAGAAGGAAAAAGAAAAAATAGATTCGATGCAAACTTTTATTTTAAGCAAAAATATTTCTCTTTTTCTAAGGTCATCTTAGAGTTCATTTAGAAAGTGTCCTTTTACTTAAGATAAACTTGTACATTTTTGTTCTTTTTTGGAGCAAAGATACATCTTATTTAATCTCTTCTCCTCAGGGTGTGATATTTATTTAGAGGGCCTTTCTAAATTTTGATATAGCTCACAAAGTTAAATTTACTTTGAGACTCTCAATAACTTTTCAGAGTAAAAGGGGATCCTGAAACCAAAAAGCTTGAGAAACACTGCCATGGGTCATCACCTGATTTCACAACACGAGGCTTCTGGGCTTAAAGAGTGAGACATGGTATTGACAATGGATTCAAATCCCAGTGCATTTTCTGCCATTAGAGGAACAAGTTATTCCTCTCCAGCCCTGGAATAGGAAATCGCTACAGGCCAGACTGATGCTCATTTGGAATCCTCCTAATTTGCATGTACATTTAACAATAATAACGTCAGTGTCAGTCTTTCCCAGCCTCTCCTTTTCTTCAGTATCTGATTCCTGCTACTAATTAAGTAGAGCTCTGCCTTTTGAGATAAGTGAGTTTGCCAGAATATTCCATTTGGTCTTGATTTCTTCTTAATTTTAAGTTCCTTCAACTTTAAATAATAAAATAAAAGAACAGATGCACCACACTGTATTAGTAAAGGATGCTGGCAGCTCTTTTGGTCCTACAGCAACAATACACGGCCCTCAGATCCAGGATTCTGCAAGGGCCGGCCTGAGCTTTTCGTTGCATTCTCAGTTCCACGTGATTGATTGAGTAAACATCTTAGGGGCACCTGTAGGTTCACTATACCAGATGCTGGGATAAGGACATCAATGGTTAACACTTAAATTACCATTACTGTGCAGCAAGTCATTCATAGCCCGGTTTGTTGAAGCCTCATGGCAGTTTAGAGGGCAAATCCTATTATTAACTCCATTTACAGATCAGAAAACTGGGGCTCAAAGTGTTTTATTAATCTATCCAATGATATAAACTCTCCTTGCAATTCAGCCTCTCAGATACCTAAGCTCTTAACCACAGTACTCTACTGCCACTAAAATAATGCTAATGATAACAATAAGAGTAATAGAAAGTTGAATTCGTTTCTGCCCAGGAGAGGCTCACACCCACCTAGAAGGGAGAGAAAAAATAACAATGCAAACTAGAAAATGCTACCGTCAAGGTTTCCTATATGCATTTAATAAATATTTTATGAATGCTTGAATAAATTAAGGATCGTGTTAAAAAGCTATCACAGTATGGCAAGCAGTTTAATTGGTTCAACCCAGACGACTTGGGGAGGGCTGTAACTAGATGGTGACATGCAAACCAAACCTTAATTCTTATGAGGAGTTTACTTCAGAAAAATGTGGGGACTTTCCAAGGAGCAGAAGGAGAGCCCAGGAATGGTTTTATCCTGAACAAAGCTATAAGATGGTGAAAAGTCTGAAAAAAAGTAAGGAAAACTGTACCCAGGAGCCCAGTGGGCACCCATTGGGACAGGAGAGGGGGCTGGCGCAGCAGGTTATGATTGACAGGGAAGAGCCGGGTGGCTGTCCGAGGATGCCCTTGACTTTCTCTAGACAGGAAGAAGCCAGGGCAGGAGAGCCACGAAGAGACCTGACTCGGTGTTTCAGAAGCTCCAGTAAGGGTGCAAGGCGGATGTGTGAAAGAGAGCTGAGTAAGCGGAGCATTTAGTGGGCTGCGTGGGGCCCTGGTGGTCCTTTCATGCTCAGAGTGAAGGGCTAGGACGCTTGGTTTCCATTGCTATGTTGAGTCGCTGTGGTAGCTACGAAGATTCCTCAAAGTTGTCTCAGGTATGAGGGTTGACCCTAATCTCCCGATGGACCTTAAGGACCTTAAGCTCTGGATGCAGGGGGAGGGTGGATGCATGCACACATGCACACACACACAGAGACACATGTACAGATGCACACGCACAGACACATGCACACACACACAGACACATGCACACACACAGACACATGAATATGTGCATGTGCACACACAGAGACACTTGCACATGTGCACACTCACACATACACACGTGCACACAGACACATGCACAGATGCACACGCAGACACATGCACACACACAGACACATGTACAGATGCACACGTACACATGCACACACACAGACACATGAACATGTGCATGTTCACACACAGAGACACTTGCACATGTGCACAGACAATACACACGTGCACATGCACACAGGCACATGCACACACACACATGCACACACAGAGACATGCACACATGCACACGTGCACACAGAGACACACGCACACATGCACACACGCACACATGCACACACACACAGAGACACACACATGCACAGGCACAGACACATGCACACATGCACATGCACAGACACGCACATGTGCACAGAGTCACATGCACAGACACACACACGTGCAGAGACATGCACACATGCACACGCAGACACATGCACACGTGCACAGAGACACACGCACACATGCACACACATGCACATGCACAGACATGCACACATGCACACAAGACACATGCACACATTCATAGATGCACACACAGACATGCGCACATGCACACACAGACACATGCACACGTGCACACACATATTCACAGATACACACGCACAGACACATGCACACATGCACACTCACAAATGCATACGTGCACACACAGAGACACATGCACACGCACAGAGACACATGCACACGTGCACACACACAGACACATTCACGATGCACACGCACAGACACATACACACGTGCACACACACAGATGTCTGTTTCCACAAGAAGGAGGCTGTGTCTGGGCTATGGCCTTTAGTGTATTCTGCTTTTCAATGAAGTTTCATTTCTTGTTGCCACTTCTTTCTAAGCCAGTGTATTAGTCTGTTTTCATGCTGCTGATAAAGACATACCCGAGACTGGGAAGAAAAAGAGGTTTAACTGGACTTACAGCTCCACATGATTGGGGAGGCCTCAGAATCACGGCGGGAGGAGAAAGGCGCTTCTTACATGGCAGCAGCAAGACAGAATGAAGCAGCAGCAAAAGAGGAAACCCCTGATAAACCCAGGAGATCTCGTGAGACGTATTCACTATCATGAGAATAGCACGGGAAAGACTGGTTCCCGTGAATCAATTATCTCCCCCTGGGTCCCTCCCACAACACGTGAGAATTCCGGGAGATACGATTCAAGTTGCGATTTGAATGGGGACATAGCCAAACCATATCAGCCAGCAATCTGGATTTACCAAGGGCTGTGTTCTCTTTCCTGAATCACGATTCTCACACTGTTGACCCAACATAGGGAAACATTCTATCCCATTTGCAGTACAATTTCATGGCTCCAGATAAGTTCAACTCCTGTTGCTCCTGGTTAGTCGGAGTGTGGATCCAGGGAACTGCTGGAAATTCCACATCGCTTACTATATTTCCAGTAGCCAATAACATAAAAATAAAATGGCGATTTAAAAACATAGAATAAGGCATCTTGGGCCTCACACAATTTCCTGAATCAGAGTCTGCATCTTGGTAAACCCTGTGGCAATGCGGAGACCCAGCCAGGTACTGCTTTTACAAGTAAAGAATACTGTGAAAACCTACAGTGTCGTGCGCTAGGATTGCTTTTCTTGTGTTTTTAAATACTTTCCAATTTCCCACAGAGTATTTCAGAACTGATGGTAATTGCCGAACAGCGTCCCGAATCTAAGGCCAAACTCCTTTTCCATCCCTGTCTCTCAGTCTACGCTTCTTGGTGACATTTTTGGATCAGATGGGACTACTGGCTCTCTCTTGAAATACGGTGGTAATGTCTCTCCGCATTAACTTACTAAAGTCTTTTGTTTATTTCACAGCTTTATTGCAGTATAACTGGTACACAAACACTCTGCACATCTTTAATGCATATGATGTGATGGGTTTGGGCATAGCTTACACCCATGAAACCATCACCATATCGAGGTGATGAATATACCCATTCCATCCAAAAGTTTCTTTGTGTTTCTGTGTATTTTTTATTTTTTTTGGTAAGGGAAGACAAAGACAAGGCCAAGAGTAGCACCAGAAAATATAAGAGGGTCGATCTCGTGTCAAGTGAGATTTACATTTCAAGTGCACAATGCAGTATTTACATTTTCAAGTGTGCAATGCAGCATTTTCAAGGACACTTCAGTGCAGTGTTGTTAGCTATAGGCACTGTGCTGTACTGCCGATGTCTACAGCTATCCACCCTGCACCACTGAAACTCTACCCACTGAACAGAAACCCTTCCCCCTCGCCCTAGTAATCACAATTTTACTGTCTGCTTCCATATGTTTGACTAATTTAGAGAACTCATGTAAATGAAATCATTCAGTATTCGTCTTTCTGTGGCTGACTTCTTTCTGTTAACATAATGTCCTCAAGGTACATCTACGTTGTTGCACATGGCAGGATCGCTTTCTTGGTTAAGGATGAATAATATCCCACTATAGGAATATACCACATTTTCCTTATCCATTCCTCTGATGATAGACGTTTGGGTTGTTTCCATATCTTAGCTATTGAGAATAATACTGCAATGAACACAGGAGTGAAGATATCTTTTTGACATACGCATTTCACTTCTCTTGGATTTTATGTTGAAAAATGGAATTGCTGAATCATGTTGAATCAATCTATTTTGATTTTTTCATGAACCTCTATACTGCTCTCCATAATGGCTGCACTAATTTACAATCCTATCAACAGTGTACAAGGTTTCTAATTTCTCTGCAATATCATCAACACTTCTTTTTTTAAATAATAACTATTCTCACAGGTATGATGTAATATCTCATTATGGTTTTGATTTGCATTTCCCTGATAATTAGTGATGTTGAGCATTTTCTCATAGATCCTATTGGTCAATTGTATGTCTTCCTTGAAAAAAATGGCTATTTAAGACTTTCATTCATTTTTAAAATCATATTATTAGACTATTATTGTTTTACTACTGAGTTGTAAGAGCTTTTTTTTATATAGTTGGGTGTAAGCCTTTTATCATCTGAGGCTGATAATGATTTGCAAATAGTTTTCCCCAATCCATAGGCTGCCAGTCAACAAGATGAAAAGTTCACCTATGGGTTCTGTTGATTGCTTCATTTGCTGTGCAGAGATTTTTAGTTTGATGTAGTACAATTGTCTCTTTCTGCTTTTATTGCTTGTGCTTTTGATGTCCTAGCCAAGAAATCATTGCCAAGACCAATATAAAGAAGGTTTTCCCCTATGTTTTCTTTCAGGAGCTCAATCATTTCAGGTCTTACATTTAAGAGTTTGACCCAGTTTGAGTTGATTTTTGTGTATGATATAAGATAAGGCTTCAATTTTAATTTTTTGCATGTGGATATCCAGTTTTTCTAGCACCATTGTTGAAGAGACAGTTCTTTCCCCAATGTGTGCTCTTAGGAACTTGTCCAATATCAGTTAACCATTGTGGTTTGAATTTATTACTAGGCTCTCTCTTCTGTTTCATTTATCTATGTGTCTTTATGCCACTGCCAGACCTTTTTCAATTACTGTTGGTTTGTGATATATTTTGGAATCAAGAAGTGTTATGACTACAGTTTTCGGAAAGATGTGATGTTCATGGATTGGAAGAGTCAATATTGTTAAAACGTCCGTGCTACTCAAAGTGACCTGCAGATTCAGTGCAGTCCCCATCAAAACCCCAGTGACATTTTTTACATAAATAAAAAAAAATCCTAAAATTCATATGGAACCACTGAAGCTTTTTCTGTACCTGATATACCCCTAGCCAGTCTCTCTATCTAGTCAACTCTTACTCATTCCTTAAAAAGCACATTGACTATTTTCTTAACTCATTGACTATATTAAAATCCAGAGTTTTTTTTTTATTTTCTGAATTGGCCCCTTGTTTATGATTTTGCTCATACAATGTCTCAATAAATTAAATGTATTTTAAAAGAAAATTGTTTATAAGCCTTATGAATTGGAAAGTGATCCTCAAGGCATAGACCACACAGTGCTCGAAGCCCAGTAGGTGAAGAGCAAGTATCTGTTAAGTAAGAAGGCAACCCAGTGGATGAAAGTCTCTGAGTGATTGGTCACTTCAGGTGTTAACGAGTTCCTCTCACCACCCCCAGCCCCATGGCTCAGCCTGGTGGTCCAAGAACTCTCCTTTCTTGACTACAACTCTGCTTCCAGCAGTGCCCTTCTCTCCTGAGGCTGACTCTAAAATGGTCAGCTATAAGCTTTTTGAGAACAGAAGCCATAAGTCAAATTTTTCTATTTTCTACAATATTTGAAAGTTGGTCTTGCACAGAACAAGTTCCAAAATCTGTTCTTGCACAGAACAAGTTCCAAATACAACACTATTGACTGATTGAAAAACATGTACTATGTGATAAGTGTGATACAGGTAATACATTTTATATTGATGAAGTACTGTTCTGACCTCTGCAATGAGTTTTCGTGTTCAGTGGTGTCAGGGCACTTTGTGGCGTCGTAAGACTGGAGGCCCATCTTCAGTTATTTTTGTGTGGAACCTAGAATAATCACAAAACACATATTCAAACACTTGATAAATGCTTTGAATCACGACAGTGGACCGTCCACCACTTCTAAGGGTCAGTGTTTAAGATAATTGCCTCTAATATCATTATTATTTATACTTTTACCTTTTGTGGTAGAAATTGAAACTTCAAAGGTTGAAGGCAACTTACTTAACCTCCTAGAAAATTCAAAAGAGGCACTGACTTCATGAGTTGCTATGACTCAAACTGATGAACAAAACCCAAAGTCCTTTCAGAAGAAAAGTTCCCTGAAAAGAACGTAGGAGGTTCTCATCACTTGGCCAAATACCACTGTGCTTAACCTCTTCACAAAGAGGAAGAAAGCCTTCCCTTCTGGCTAATCAGTTTCTCTCACTCACGTCATCATTTGGCCACTTTTTGGAATAAAAGATTACAGTGATGTTACACTATGTTCATTGTCAGGGCGGTCACTAAAGATGACTGTCTTAACTTTAGTTTCTGTGCCAGAATCTTGACTCACTTTTCTCACACAACGAAGTGGGAAGAAGCAATCACTTGTTCAGGGCTGGAACAGAATGAATGACTTGGTGGTCATGGGCATCTGTTCCTCACAACCAGCCTCTTTCTTTAAACGACATGGATGGCATCAACATGCAGGCTGCCCGGAAGAAGGGGCAATGTCTGTCACCATGGAGACCAAGAGCAGCTAGCCACGCTGCTGGCTCCAACCTCTTCTCAGTGGCGGTGGGAACTGGATTTTGAGGATGGGGTTTCGCAACTAACAGGATAAACCAATGACTTCCAGAAGTGCTGTCATTAGGAAACATCTCAGAATCTGTTGTGCTGAACTTAAATTTTAAGTAATTCTGAAGAGCGTTGACACCTTTAGAAACCAAGTTTTGTCAGGCAAGAGATCCACACTGGTTCAAAGCCAAGCAGGTTTTGTCTTCTGGGTGCAAAGGAGCATTGCTTGCATATCCTGGGGAGGGGAGATTCTGAGCTGGAAATGTTGGATTTCATTCCTGGCTGCAGAACTTCATTGCTGCAGGGCTTTTGACAATTCATTTACCTTCTCCCTGCTTCCACTTTCTCTATATTTCTATCAAATATGTGCTAACTCAGGATTGAGTTCAGCTGGATATAGAATCAGAGGATAATTTAGTGTGAGAGACAACTGCAAATCCACCATATATTTTTTTAATCCGGGTGTCAGTTAACTTTTTTGGCAAATAGAGCTTTTTACTGCGATTGTTGTCGCTGATTGTTGGAGGGTGGAGGAGGGAAGTATTGTGGTGTGAGTGACAGGGCAGTTATCTGTTGATGCAGAGCTGGGACAAGGATAGTCCCCCTCGTCCCCACACAGGCCGGCTGCTCCCGTTTTGTTAACCAACAAATGGAAATTCCGCCCTCTTGAAGAAATGATTTCAGGAGGAATATACACCTTATTTTGCAAATAATCACATAAATTAGTGGAAAATCTGTGTCTGATATTTGTGAGAGAAGGCTGTGCACAAGTAACCACCCAGCAGAAGGTGCAGGAACTGCCAAGTTGTTAGAACCACTGGACCTCCTGTTTCAGGGACGGTTTGATCAGGCAGGTGTAAGAGGAAGAATGGATGGATTCTAGCAACCCTGAGTTAGTGCGGGTAATAAATGACAAGATTAAAAGGAGCTATTGTAAATAAATCAGAGAGAGAGATAGCCATCAAGAGGTTATTTGTTTCTGTGGAATGGGTTCTCAAAGTCACTAAGTTTTTGGTGGAGAAAGGCATGTTAATATTTACACTAATCTTGGAATGAGTGAGGTAACTGTATGTAGCAGCAGCTAGCTCAGAAGTAGGTCTGTGTGTGAAGCCTGTGGTAGGTGAGCTGGAGGGGGAGTCCCGGCCGTCAGCACTCGCCTCTGGGAGCCCTACTCGGAGTCTATGAAAATCCCTAGAAGATGCATCCCGTTTCAGTAACCAAAGCTCACCACCAAAATTATCAGTCTTATTAAGGTTTTCTTTCATTGACTTATGCTAATTAAAATAAATGTAATGCAAACATTAAAAATGTGTTGTACAAAGAGGGCCTCATTTTTAATACAGAAACTTCCTATAACACAGATCACCCTAAGACTAGCAACGGTAACCAAAATGTGCATTGTTTTAAGTGACCACCATGGACATAGCAAATATTTATGCAACTTCTGTGTATTCAGAACACAAAACAGTCATTTTATTCCAAATAACCTCACTGAAAAACTTCACAAACGACATTATAATTGCTCTCTTCAGGTGATTTTATTTTTATATTGGTGTCATCTTATCCTAGAATCTCCCCGTGGGATGTACCACATAATACAAGGAGAAGGTTACAGAAAGGCAAAGCCACTGCAGGCTGCCTGGCTTTTAAGCTATGAGAGATTTCCCAATATATGATTTAGTTATGACTGTGTTATAACTCAAATCATGTGATATAGAGGAGTGATGCAATTGCTTAGAAACGCCATGAAATTATTTTTATTGAGCCTAACAATAACAGTGTCAACAAAAACAGACAATAAACATTTCAGTTGAAACTTTACAAATTTTATAAAAATTAAATGACTGCCTTTTAAATTCACTAAGCTAGATCATTGAATTATTTCTATATGAATGATACTTAAAAATTAGTTCAGAAAAACATTGTGTTGACAGTTTTTTGTGTTAATATTAATACATAAAGCATTGAGATAGGGATTATTTTAAAAATGAATGCAGTCTAGGTTTAAATCCCTTATGTGTGTGAGTGGGTGTGACAGTGTGGTTGTGTGTAAGTATATGGTTGTGATTGTGTAGTTGTGTGAGTATACGGTTGTGTAATTGCGTAGTTGTATGTGCATATGTGAGCATGTGGTTGTGTGTATGCTTGTGCAGTTGTGAGTTTATGATTGTGTGTGTGATTGCACAGTTGTATGTGCATGTGTGAGTATATGGTCATGTGTGAGTGTGTATGATTGTGTAATTGTGTGTGTAAGTATAGAGTTGTATGTGTGATTGGGTAGTCCTATGTGCATGTGTGAGCATGTTATTATGTGTATGTGATTGTGTTGTGTGTAATTGTGTATTTGAGTGTGTGAGTATATGGCTGTGTGTAATTATGCAGTCATATGTGCATGTGAGAGCATGTGACCGTGTAGGAAAGTGTGTGATTGCAGTTGTGAGTTTGAGTATATGGTTGTGTGTGTAGTTATGCGTGCATGTGTGAGCATGTGGTTGTGTGAGTACACAGTTGTGTGTGTGACTATGTAGTTGAATGTACATGTGAGAGTATGTGACCATGTATGAATGTGTGTGCCTGAAGTTGTGAGTTTGAGTATATGGTTGTGTGTGTGATTGTGCAGTTATGCGTGCATGTGTGAGCATGTGGTTGTGTGTGTGTGTGTGTAGTTGTGTGCATGAGTACAGGGTTATGTGTGTGACTGTGTAGTCGTACGTTCATGTGTGACCATGTGGTTGTGTATGTGTGTTTGTGAGGATAGGGTTGTGTGTGTGATTGTGTAGTCATGTGTGTATGTGTGAGCCTGTGGCTGTGCATATGTGAGTGTGTAGTTGTGTGAGTATAGGGTTGTGTGTGTGACTGTGTAGTCGTTTGTGCATGTGTGAGCACATGGCCGTGTGTATGTGTGATTGTAGTTGTGAGCTTGAGTATAGGGTTGTGTGTGTGATTGTGTAGTTATGGGTGCATGTGTGAGCATGTGGTTGTGTGTGTCTGAGCTATTGTGTGTATAGGAGAGGAGAATGGGGAGGGAGTAAACGCTGCCCGTTATTAAATATTAATGTTCTGCAAATCCCAAGTTTATGAAGCCCTGCGTTCACTTGAGAAGCTTCTCTGAACCATGTAGACATCTAACAGAGATTCTTTACAAAGATTTGTATCCCTCTTTAATTCGATCATTAGGACCAAGATTAAAGGAGCACAGGCCAGGCGTGGGGGACAGTGCGATGTCCCTGCGTCCTCCTGGGCCCGAGCAGAGCTTGGCTTCGGACACCAGGTTCCCCAGCTCGGCGCCTCCAAAGTGTGGCCAGTTCTTCCCTCTCAAGCTTGAATTATTTATGCGTCATTTCAGAAGCACGAGCTAGACTTCAGTTTTAAACACAGGAGTAAATTTCCTTTCGGAGTCCTTTGATTTCACAATAATAAAGGACATAAAGAAGGAAAGTGGATTCGCTTCTGACGTAAAAGTTAAGGAATCTATGAATATGTGTGATATGGACCTGATAAGCCTGAGACTTTCTTCAGTCAAACGTATTCGAAAGGACGACGCCCTCTTTTTCGTGCTAACTCATCTGCCTCGGCGAGCCCTTCTTCCCTCCACGGAAAGGAAAATCCATCTTGTCTCTTCAAAGCGTTCTGGTTGCTTTGGGTTAATGGTCTCTTTCCAGTAAATATTCATTCGCATTCTGGAAGGGTCCTTGAGGCCACCACTCAGCTCCGAGCCTCGTGGTTCCCCGCTCGCCCTCCTTCCCTTGGGTCATTCACTGCAAAGAATTTAAGGACCGCCGAAGGGCCCACTCTGCAGAGCGGAACCCCTGCAGGGGCTGTCCGGGCCCTGGTCCCAAGACCCTGGCTCTCTCGGCGGGGATGGCGTCGGGGGATGGGCCCTGGCATGGCAGCTCTTCCCAGCACCGTGTCCCCTGCACCACTGCACAGCCTCGGTGGGACGGGCCAGCGGACCCCCGTGCTCACTCACCTTCTTGGCCACACACTCTCAGGTTGCAGCACTCGGGCAGACCCGTGGAGCTCAGTTCCCACAAGGAACGAGCGGCTCTTCTCTGCCCTGCAGCCTCTTGGGGGGACCTTCCACCTGTGCCTCGGTGCGCCCCGTCTCCAGGTCCTGCCCGTTGAAGACCAGCCCTGGGTGGAGGCGCACATGTGCAGTCCGAGGTCAAAACGCGCACGCGACACACCTCAAGAAATGGACATTTCTAGCCCCGAAACATTCCACGTCTCCTCCTGTCTTCTCTCCGAAGTTTCTCACTGGGAAGCAGCATCATGCATGTGCCTGTGGGAGGGTCTCTTTGTGGACACAGAAAAGCCGCCGCAGACGGTGTATGATCATTTGGTGTCACTTCTTTCGTGCATCAACACGTTTGGCGATTCACTAGTATTGTTTTACAGAGCTGTAATTCCTTCATTTATAGTACTGTATAGTTTTCTCTAAATGAATCATTCATTCTACTTTTTTCTTTTACGGTTTGTTTATTTTTAGACAGGGTCTTGCTTTGTGGCCAGGGCTGGAGTGCAGTGGCACGATCTAGGCTCACTGCAATCTCGACGTCCGAGGCTCAAGTGATCCTGCCACCTCAGCCTCCTGAGTAGCTGGGACTACAGGTGCACACCACTATGCTCAGCCAATTTTTTAAACCGTTTTTTGTAGAGACAAGGTCTCACTACATTTCTCAGACTCATCCATTTGACTCTTGACGGCCACTGGGTTGATGTTGCCCTGGGGTTATTTTGAACAGTGCTGCTGTGAGTGGGTTTTGTATGTCTCCTGGTGCATGTGTGTATGCATTTCTGCAGCATTTCACATTTTTGGTGCTATTGTAAATGGCATATTTTTAAATGCTTACTTTTAAATCATTGTTCTCAGTAATGTCATATACTAATTTGTATCCAGCAACCTTGCAAAACTCACATATTATTTATAATATTTTATATAAAACTTTATTTTATTTTTCTAAGTATATAATCTTATATGAAAATGGTGAGTATTTTTCCCTTACTGATATTTTTTTTTTCCGTATTACACTGGCCTGATTTCCCATAAAAGGTTGAATGAAATTGTTGAGAATAGCTCACCTTGTTTTTATTATCAAAGGGAAAGCTACTGCATTTCACCATTATGTATGATGTTTAACATAGTTTTATGGCAGCTAGCCTATATAAAATAAAGAAAGCTTCCGTTTCTTTCTAGAAATTAATGAAATATGTACAAAATTTATACACTGACTATATCAAACATTACTGAAGAGAATTTTAAAATTCTTACATTAAAGGTAAAATACACATTGCTCATGAATTGAGGGTAGTACGTAGGTCAATGTCTTCAAAATTGATTTGGGTATTCAATCCAATCCCAATCAACATTTGAAGAGAAAGGAAGAAAACTAGAGATGGTAAGACTGCTCAATTCTGGTTTTAGCAGGAATTGTTTAAGACATTTGTGTATTTTATAAGAGTAATTTGATTGAATCAGAAAAAAAGTCTTTAAGTCTACTTAAACAGTAGAGTAAAACCAGCCACAAATGACAAGACAATGAAGAGAACAAGCAGGCAGGGAGTCCCTGTCAGCCTCCTACTACAAGGGCTGATGTCAATCCACATGCATTTGTGAGGTGCTATTTATGTCTTACTTGCAGATAAATATTAAATACATACACAATTGTCGTGTTGTTATTTTTTCACACAAAATAATTACTTGCCTATTCTCTGGGTTTATATTCTACAACAGTGCCTGCTGAAGATTGCACGCAACTTTATTAGAGTGTGTTCATGGTATCGTGTGATGAGAAATAATAAACCAAAGCCTAGCTTTTACACAGGAAAATGCACCGTACATAGAGTCTTTCTCACCATTTAATTCCCTTTTTAAAATATTCTTTTTCAATTGCCATTGGTTTAAAAGTGGTTAATGCAAAATAATATATATAATATATATAAATAATATAATATATATAAATTATATATATATATATAAGGGAGAGAGAGAAATGTCCTTTTAAAAATATTTTTAGTATTAAAAAAGCTTTAGTATTAAAAATCATGCCTAAGGCATTTCTAAAGAGCGGTTTCAGTACAAGACAAGCTGATGACAGTGGTTTGTTTAACTCTATGTTTTTCTATTCATAAGTGATATTTGGAGGGTCTTTTTTTTCAGCCAGAGTGGTAGAGGGGGAGGATTCACTTTAAATTCCGTATTAACCTGAAGGATCAATACAGATTGCATAGTGTGCTCTGTAGCTTCCACTAATAAAGCAAATAGATGCAAAGTCATTAGGAGAGGGGTTAATTTTAAATATATAAGTTTCTTTAAAAAGTATGTGTTTAAAAGGCTGAGCATTTAGGAAAGTGTGATTTGAAATGAGCAAGTGCCATAATCCCACCAGTGCCAATATGTTCATTAATCATTTATTTGAATCACCTTTTAGTTGACGCCCTTCTCCCAAGACCCAAAATGTTATTGTAAAAGATGAGAATTATTTCAAGTTGAACTAAATGAGGCTGACATGAATTGGTGCCTGGTGATCTGAAGTGGAGGCTCTCAGTCCTGATTTGCAGTGGCACTGAAGGAAAGGAGCTGGACAGGGGAGGGTGGAATTTATATTTTCAAAGGCCACCTATTTAAAAGGGGACAAATCTATCTGTAGCTAAATGCAATTAATTGGTAGAAAATCAGAAAATCTAGAAATTTAGAATTTATCAACCTTTGAAACCAATAAAATATTTAAAATCATGTTGTTTCGCAAACTGTAAAAGATGGGCCATTGTTCTTGTTAGATTCCCTTTTCCATTTTATTTCTGGGGGGGGGAATAAAGAATTTAAATCAAATTTGAATCACCTGAAATAAAATTTTAGTGCAGCAAAGCACCTCAATTGTGTTTACTTCCATAAAATATTGATTTAATAAAATAATTGAAATATAATAATATAAAACCTATAGAGAAAAGGGGTTGAGAAATAATCTTTATCTAAAATTAATTCAAATAATTTATTTTGCTACTAGACATGGTGATGTATGTTACCTGTTAGAATTAGAGGTAGCAGTTTGATGAGGGAAAGAATAACATAAAAGAAAAAAATGACTGAGTCTTAGAAAAGATTTTGGATACAGCCACCAAAGTTGCCATTACACTTTAATTCCCTGAACTATTTGTTTTCAAAGCAAACTTTTCCTAATTTTCTTGTGTGTAAAGACAATGACAAATGTAGATGAAAACTATATTATAGAAATTTTAAAATGTAATGTACATCTTTTTCAAGGGTTACAGAGAAAAAGTATTTAGAAACAACAATTTGATGCCCAGCTAAACTGTCATTCAGGACAAATAAGTCAGTTTCAGATATGAGAGAGCCAAGATCACTTACATCAGAGTACATACTCAAGTATTTAAAAAAAAAATCCAAGAAGCAGACATGAGATCCAAGAGATAGAGCTTTAAACCAAAAACACACTGGGATAAATAAGAAACAACTCTGAACTACAGTTGAGTAAAATTGTTCCAAGTCAAACCTTTCAAACAGTAGAATCACTTTCAAAAGAGTGGATAATCTTATTTACATTTGTTTTCGCAATTATATTGAAAGGTGATTAGAAAATGACAGGAAAATGCCCAATAATTTTTGTATGAAAATTTTGGTCCACAGATAAATAAAACAATATGAATGTCTTAATTTGGAGCAATTGATGAAAGGTTAGGGATAGAAGGAAAAATAAATTGAGGCTGAAGTTGAAAATATTTTACTTTCTGTTTCATATCATTCTATAATTTTTGAGTTATTCACCCATGTTTATGTATTACAGGTACACAGTCCCTTTACTAAAACTCTTGGTGCCTTATGTGCTTCAGAATTAAGATTTTTTTCATATTATATAACATTTCAGGAGGTTCCGGGATAGCGCCTTGTTATCCAACATTCCACATGGGATATAGATTATAACTAGCCTCACATTAGTTCAGAACAGATTTAATAGTAAAAAAATGTATTTTAAAATGTATTTAGCTCACACCTGTAATCCCAGCACTTTGAGAGGCCAAAGCGGGCATTGAGGCCAGAAATTCGAGAGCAGTCTGACCAACACTGTGAAACTTCGTCTCTACCAAAAAGTACAAAAATTAACCGGGTGTAGTGGCACATGCCTGTAGTCCCAGCTACTCCAGAGGCTGAGGCAGGAGAATCACTTGAATCCGGGAGGAGACGATTGCAGTGTGCCAAGAATGCACCATTGCACTCCAACCTGGGTGACAGAGCAAGACTCTGTCTCAAAAATTAATAAATAAATAAATAAATAAATAAAATAAAAAATAAAAATACTCTTTATTTCCCAAAACTTTTGGGATTTTGTAATTACAGATAAGAAATTGTGGACCAGTACTTAGCCAATAAAATTAAACATACACGCATAGCTTCTAAGGCAGAGTCAAAGTAAAACTCACATATTCCATTTTCCTTTTTAGTTGCAGTGCACACTGTGCAAAGTGAAAGATAAGACATTTTGACCAAAGGCATCTTCCCTTTGACATAACAAAATAGAGTACTCAGGTCGCAAGAACTACGGTGATGAAATGGGAAAGCAATATTTCAAAGAACATCTGGTGAAAAGCATGATGAAGTCTCTGGGTGGATTTTGATGAAAGTGTTTCCATTAGTTGGCTAAAAACATAGTACAGCAAGAGCACGCCAATTTGCAAGTTAAGCAGCAAGGATTTCATGTTCTTTGCAATTCACAAATCTTTTTACTCTGCCTTTTTTTATATCATTACTAATTTTATTCTTCTACTAAGAATTATAATTTTTGTTTCCAGGCAAGAAAAGAAAAACTCCCATCTCAGATGAACAAAGTAGCAGATCACAATTTTAGGTGGTACCACTCATCCAAAAACCAGAGGACTTGGTTTATACATTTGCAGATAAAGGACTAGAGAACAGACTAGCCACCACATATACTAAGGTAACACACTCTTGCTACAATAAAGCTCAGAGATGCAAAATTAATAAACTACCCATAATTTCAAAATTATTTGATCAGGAAGTGTTCGTCGGGTGCGTAATGGAGAAAGGGAAGTATGACCGCCCTGCAAAGAAGGAACCACAGAGAAACGTCCTCGAGTGCTTACAGCAGCAAGGTGAGGAGAGAATTCGGTCACTGAGAACTGACTTCAAAAGGTAAATCACCTGTGCTCAGAAACTGGTGCAACAAATACTAATCAGAGAATAAAGGGCTGACTACAAAGATGATTCATAGAATTAATACTTATTTAAAAGTTAGGACTTGGTTTGAGCCTTAAAAAGGTAAGGTTGAGACTTGGTTTCACTAAGTTTCATCCAATATCATGACCTTTCATAAATCACACTTGGGACTGGTTGAGAGACTTGAGACTTCAGTAAAGGTGTACTTGACTGTGAAAGGTTTTCCTTGAGGACAGCATGGCGATGGGGCCCCAGGCTACTCACCTGTCTCAGGTTAGTGTTCTGCCTTTCTCCAGCCTTGGCGGGGGACATGGAGGAGTCAGCAGATCTGGGGTTCTGGATAATCCTGGCTTCTTGGGTCTTTCCTAGGTCCCAGGGCAGGACTTGTCACTGGCTCTCTTTATGAAGACGGTGATGGCCCTTGTCAGAGAGGAGAGGAGGATGGGTTTGCAGAAGGCAAGAGGTTAAAGGCAGGCACAGTAAACCAAGCAGGAGTGGGCAGCACAACGCTTCCTGCCCATGTGGCTTGGAAGGCTGGGCAGAGGGCTGGGTCAGGTGGAGAGTACTGAAAGCAAAAGTGAAAGGTGGGGTTTAGAACAGCTGTGACAAGATCGTGGGGGCTTTGCAGGTCAGGATAAGGAGCCTGAAAGTTGTTTCATGAGAAATAAATATTCACCGATGCTGTGGGGAACAGAGAGGAAACTCAACGAAAAGCAGATTTTGAGAAAGTGAATGAGATTACAATGTATAAATTTGATTAGTGGAATAAAAACTCTATGGGCAGAAATAATAGGTTTAATAATCTCTATGGGCAGAAAAAAACTCTATGGGCAGAAATAACAGGTCTAGTAATCTCAGTTTCAAGGAATCACAAATTGAACTAGAACGGTGCATTTGGAAGATACGTGGCAATGAATGCAAAAGACGTTTTCTAAGTAAATCCAAGATGATGTGATGGCTGTTAGGAAAGAAGGAAGGATCTCAGGTGTTTCCACGTTTTGAGGCTTGGAGATAGAGTGTTCTTGGCAAACAAGAGGTGTAAAGGAGAAAAAAATCAATTTGGATTTCAAGAATTAGGCATGTACGGTATGTTCAAGTGGGAACATTTAATAGGTAATGAGAGAACAGCAGTAGAATCTGAATGGAAGTATTGATTCAGGATCTGGGTATAGATTATTGAAACTATAACAGCTGATATAATCACCAAGAAAAAGAGATCTGCAAAGAAGCTTAACAAACTGAGTTCTGTGGCACATTTAGGTTACAGTAGAGGAAATGGGACTAACTAGAAGAGAAAGTAAACATCAGAAAATGAAATTACAAAGATAATATTCAAACAGTGTGGAATCACAGTAGCTAAGGAAAGAGAATTTCAATGAGACAGTGTTAAATGCTTCAGAGAAGTCCAGGAAACAGTGAATGGCTAAACTGGACCAGGACAAATTCATCATCACTCCCGCGAGAAAGAGGCACCACTCTCAATAAGAATGGGTCAGCAGGATGAGGAGAGACAGTTAGATAGATAGATAGATAGATAGATAGATAGATAGATAGATAGATAGATAGATAGGCAGACAGATACTTTTATTTATTTATATTTATTTTTTATTTTTTATTTTTTTGAGATGGAGTCTCGCTCTGTTGCCCAGGCAGGAGTGCAGTGGTGCGATCTTGGGTCACTGCAACCTCCACCTCTTGGGTTCAAGCAATTATCCTGCCTCAGCCTCCCAAGTAGCTGGGATTACAGGCACCCGCCACCACACCCGGCTAATTTTTGTATTTTTAGTAGAAATAGGGTTTCACCATGTTGGCCAGGCTGGTCTCAAACTCCTGACCTTAGGTAATACGCCTGCCTCAGCCTCCCAAAGTGCTGGGATTACAGGCATGAGCCATGGCTCCTGGCCTCATATATTTTTATATATAGGCTTTCATATAAGAAACTTTCATATAAGAGACTTTCATATATGTTTATATGTGGGCTTTCGTATAAGTTTCTTTTGATAAACCCTAGCAGAATTTTTTTCAGCTTTTATTTTAGGTTTGGTGGTATGAGTGCAGGTTTTTTCCTTTGTTTGGAAATTAAGTATATGTTTAATAGTTTGTATGATTTCTTTAATTTTATTTTATTTTTATTATACTTTAAGTTCTAGGGTACATGTGCACAACTTGCAGGTTTGTTGCATATGTATACATGTGTCATGTTGGTTTGCTGCACCCATCAACTCATCATTTACATTAGGTATTTCTCCTAATGCTATCCCTCCCACAGCCTCCCACCTCCCCGTCAAGCCCCAGTGTATGATGTTCCCTGCCCTGTGTCCATGTGTTCTCGTTCAATTCCCACCTACGATTGAGAACATGCAGTGTTTGGTTTCCTGTCCTTGTGAGAGTTTGCTGAGAATGATAGTTTCCACCTTCATCCATGTCCCTGCGAAGGACATGAACTCACACTGGAAGACAGTGTGGTGATTCCTCAAGGATCTAGAACTAGAAATATCATCTGACCCAGAGATCCCATTACTGGGTATATACCCAAAGGATTATCAATCATGCTACTATAAAGACACATGCGCACGGATGTTTATTGAGGCACTATTCACAATAGCAAAGACTTGGAACCAACCCAAATGTCCATCAATGATAGACTGGATTAAGAAAATGTGGCACATACACACCATGGAATACTATGCAGCCATAAAAAAGAGTGCAGGTGTTTTTAAATGGGTATATTGTGTGATGCTGAGGTTTGGTGTAGAAATGATCTCATTACCAAGGTAGTGAGCATAGCACCCAATAGTCAGTTTTTCAGCTCTTGCCCCACCTTCTCCTTCCCCTTCTTTTTGTCCCTATTGTGTATTGTTGCCATCTTTGTGTCCATGAGTACCCAGTGTTCAGCTCCAACTTATAAGTGAGAACATGTGTATTTGGTTTTCTATCTTGTGTTAATTTGCTTAGAATAACACTTTCACCTCCATCATGTTGCCACAAAGGACACAGTTTCATTCTTTTCCATGGCTGCATAGTATTCCATGATGTATATGTACCACATCTTCTTTATCCAATAATATGCCCCAATACATTTATTTTTTGGGTTAAATCATCTTTTATTTCATTTTTTCATCTCTTTGAAATCCAAAAAACCAAAACAAAAAGCAAACAAAACAACTACGTAACTGAAACAATGAGCTCACTACTTACAGTAAGTCTCATTCAATTAGACTTACTTCTGAAGGATAAATATCTCATGACTTTTTTCTTAGAATCCACAATACCTTGTGGAAGAAGGTCACCCCCACCATGTGTGTTTGTACCTTTATTACTTCCCGTTGATCTAAGGACCAGAAACTCTCAACAATCCCAGAGCTCATTATTGCACTCTTGTCATGTGTTACTGTTTGTATAAATCATCCACATTTAAGTGGATGTTTAAGTGATTTTTAAGTAATATTTTTTTATGACAGGGTCTCACTTTGTCACCCAGGCTAGAGTGCAGTGGCATGATCATGGCTCACTGCAGCCTTGACCTCCTGGGTTCAGGTGATCCTCCCACTTCAGCCTCTCCGGTAGCTGGGACCACAGATGCAAACCACCATGCCCAGCTAATGTTTTGTACTTTTTTGTAGAAATGGGGTTTTGCCATGTTGCACAGGCTGGTCTCAAACTCCTGGGCTCAAGCAATCTGCCTGCCTCAGCCTCCCAATAAATTGGATCCCTTGAATAATTGGATTGTTAAAAGTTAGAGTCCTCACAGGCCAGAGCCTCCATGTTTCCTAAGACTCAGGCCAGAGTTAGAAGTATAACTCATTTGTGTATGTACATAGTTACAGTTTCACTTGGAAGTCACTGCCCCTGAGTGGGCTGACCACACAACCTAGCCTGGCCTGAGCAGTCCTAAACTCCTTCAGTAGGGGTAATTATAAATCATCTTTCATGTCACTCTCAAATCTGTCCTTGTCTTGATGATAAATTACATGTTTACCCCACCTTTGAAGTTTACAAGGCATCTCTATCACTTCATATTATTCTATATATTACTACATCCATATTATTATACATTAATGTATAAAAACTTGCAAATTGCACACAAGAAATCCATATGCTGAGGATTCTTCCGTAAAAATCCAGCATATCTCAAGTACCCTACCCACGTAATTACTCAGATGGTTAACAGGGATGTTTCTAAATACGTTATCCCTTTAAACATATAGACAGACACTGTCAATCCTTTTTCCTCTTCCAGTTCCCTTAAGTTTACAACATATTATCAGGGCATTCATTTATAAAAAATAAAAATGAATAATATAATCAGGATATGAATTTATAATCAGGGCATTCATTTATAAATGCCCTCATTATATTATTCATATAATAAATATATATGGGCTCAATTTAGTGGTTAATAGATGTTCTTTGGACAGATAATCTTTTGCATTTTCTGATTGTGTTTATTTTGAAAATTTTAGTAACAGTGTTATAATTTAATATTAATAATTTTTTTCAAAAAAATTATTTGCATTAATGCTTGGCTCTGATAAACATTTTATTTATGCAGACTTCCCGACGTGCTGATTAAGGTCTTCTAAGTAAAAACTCAAGAAACTGAGTAAAACAAAGGAGATTTGGGGTTCACTGAAACACAACTACGAATCCTAAATATTCAGACAAAAACCTGGCATGTTGTCTTGCTTCAGAGGAGGATGTCAGATACTACCACATCTGAAGACATTTTGAAAACAAATGTTGAATTTTTGGTATGCGAAGTGTTTTACTTGTGGCTCAGATTTCTTCCTCTTATAGAAAATCATTTCACTCTGCATTAATTTTAATAAGGTAAGACGAGCAAAGAAGAGGTCACCACGGCTTACCCAGGTTCCACACAGTGCAGATTTTCATGAACCCTGACACGAGGCAGAAGCAGAGGCAGGCATTTGTGTTCTCTTACTGATACTTCACCTGGTTTCTCTTAGTCTTATCAGGAATCTGTAGGAAATTGAGTGTGTTTTCATTTGCTGCAGTTTGAAACACTGCTCTACAAAATGTCTTGCTGCTGTCAGTCTTCACATCCATACGACGTACTGCAAGAGTCTAAGTTTACCTTCAAGCCAGCCCCTTCTGCTGTCAGTCTTCACATCCATATGACGTACTGCAAGAGTCTAAGTTTGTCTTCAAGACAGCCCCTTCTGCTGTCGTTCTTCACATCCATACGACGTACTGCAAGAGTCTAAGGTTACCTTCAAGCCAGCCCCTTCTGCTGTCGTTCTTCACATCCATACAACGTACTGCAAGAGTCTAAGTTTACCTTCAAGCCAGCCCCTTCTGCTGTCGGTCTTCACATCCATATGACGTACTGCAAGAGTCTAAGTTTATCTTCAAGCCGGCCCCTTCTGTGAGGTCAACATTTATTCTCTCAGTGTTTTGTACATATTCATGTGGGTTTTTTTTAGCTTTTTAAAATTGTATTTCATTTTATTTATTTATTTTTTGAGACAGAGTTACACTCTTTCACCCAGGCTGCAGCGCAGTGGCTCAATCTCAGCTCACTACAACCTCCGCCTTCCTGTTTCAAGCAGTTCTCCTGCCTCAGCCTTCCGAGTAGCTGGGATTACAGGCACCCACCACGATGCCCGGCTAATTTTTGTATTTTTAGTAGAGACAGGATTGGCCATCTCTACTAAAAGACCATGTTGGCCAGGCTGGTCTCGAACTCCTGACCTTGTGATCTGCCCACCTTGGCCCCCTAAAGTGCTGGGATTACAGGCATGAGCCACCATGCCTGGCCCAGTCTTTATTTTTATTGACACATAATAATCATACATATTTATGGGATACATCTGATAGTTTGATACATGCATACAATGTGCAGTGATCAAGTCGGGATAACTAGGATATCCATCATCTCAGACATTTTTCATGTATTTGTGGTGGAAACATTCCCTGGCATTCATTCACTTGCATAGATAAAAAATGCTAAATGAATGAGGGCAAGAAAACCATGAAGAGTTCTAATGGTGCTGAAATTGCCTTGGGTCCAGGGTCCTGTGAACCTCAAAACTGAAAACCAGACACCTTCCAGAACAAAAGTCTGCACATCAGGAAGATCCAGATAAAAGGAACAAGGAGAACAGAGAAAACAACCTCAGAAATTGCGAGTTCATGTCTTTTATCACACCCTGAAGCCCACATAATTTTTTTTTAAGGGACAGGGAAAACTCTGAAGCTGTGAGACTAGAAAGCTGTCCTGATTCAATCATCCCTCCAAAAAGTAAAGGAAAAGCATTTCACTTAAAAATCAGCAAAAACAAAGAATCCCAGTCAATTCTCACATAAAATTATAAGAAAAAGAATTAAGTACAAAATAATTTATCTAAAAAGAAGTACATCATGGGCAATGACATTTATTCTAAAAATTCAAGAGTGGTTCAGTATTAGAAAGTACATTGATATGGTTTGGCTGTATCCCCACCCAAATTTCATCTTTAATTATGATCCCCACATGTCATGGGAGGGGCTGGAGGGAGGTAATTGAATCATGGGGCCCGTTTTTCCCATACTGTTCTCGTGATAGTGGGTGAGTTCTCATGAGATATGATGGTTTTATAAGCGTCTAACATTTCCTCTGCTGGCACTCATTCTCTCTCCTGCCACCCTGTGAAGAGGTCCTTCCACCATGCTTGTAAGTTTCCTGAGGCCTCCTCGGTCATGTGGAACTGTGAGTCCATTTAACTTTTCTTTATAAATTACCCAGTCTCAGGTATTTCTTCATAGCAGCATGAGAATGGACTAATACACACATTAACGAAACATTAAAGGTAAGAAAAGAGCATGATTTTCATATATATATGTGACATTTGACATAATTCATCACTCATTAATGTTAAAAACAAATAAATAGAAATTTGTGACATTTCTTGTTTGCCTCAGCCCAAATGCATCATCTCCCTTACTGAAGAAAAACAAGGTTTCCACTAAAGTTAGGAGCAAGGTGTTAGGAATAAAATCAGAAACAAACAACTAAAAAGGAGGAAATGAGCCAACAGGAATTTATGATGTGAGCATTAACACAAAAATAAGATAATTTAATAAGGTAGCAGATTGTAAAATTGATATCGAGAAATAGCTCATATGTATATATTATACACACAATATCTATTTCTACATATATATGATGGATTAGAAGATATATGTGTGTGTATTAGAATTTGTAACAAAAGAGATGACCTCATTAATAACAACAAGAAAAAAGAAACAAAAAGAAAAGAGAATATCTAACTGAATTTAGTAACAAGAAAACTCTAAAATATTTACTTAATGAATAATTAGAATTTTAAAAATTTAGAAAAGCCATTTGCAACAGCACCAAAAATGAAGCACTTATGTATAAAGCTAACAAAATATGTGTAGGATCTTTTTATGGAAAACTGTAGAATTCTAATGGAAGAAATCAAAGATTGAAATAAATGGAGTGATATTCTATTATTATAAATTGGAAGGTTCAATATTGCTAAAATATCAATTATTCCCAATTGGAACTACAGACTCAATTCCAAGAAAAATCCCAGCAAAATATTTGTAGGTATTGAAAAACTGATTCTAAAATGTATATGGAAAGAGAAAGAATCTAAGATAGCTAAAACATTACTGAAGAAGAACAAAGATGGAAGACACACTACGTGGTTTCAATACTTACTATAAAGCTACAATAATCAAGGCAATGTGCTATTGCTGAAATTGTAGACAGATAGATCAATAGAAGAGAATAGAAAGCCCACACAAAAATAGTCAACTGATTGTTAAAAGACCTGAAGGAAATTCAACAGAGAAAGGATACTTTTTTCAACAAACGATGCTGCAAATGTTGAATGTTCTTATGCAAATAATCATAATTATGATTAAAAAAATAAACATAGACACAGATCTTACTTACATCTTATACAGAAATTAATGCAAAATGGATCACAGGCACAAGTGCAAAATGCAAAACTATAAAACTTTTTAAAGAAAACTTGGAAAAAATTATGACTTAGTATTGATTTTTTAATAAACTTTATTATGTATATTTAAGGTATACAATATGATGTTATAGAATACATATGGTTTGCTAGGCCATTCTTGTGTTGCTCTAAAGGAATACCTAAGACTGGGTAATTTATAAGAAAAGAGGTTGAATTGGATCCTGGTTGTTCAGGCTGTTCAAGCGTGGCGCCAGCATCTACTTGGCTTCTGGGGAGGCTTCAGGAAGGTTTTACTCATGGTGGAAGGTGAAGCAGGAGCAAGTATTAAGTGTTGCATACCAAATGGTGGCTGGATGTGGGGAACCGTGAACTCTCATCCACTCCTAATGGCAGGTCATGTTTTGTGAACACATTGGAGAACTAGTTTTCAGCACTTTATAAAGTTGACAATGGGTAGATCTCAGGACTAAGCATTTCTGTGCCTAGGTATATTGCCTTAAAGTATTTTCAAAAACAAGCATCTCCATCGAGACCTTCCTGGCTAACACGGTGAAACCCCATCTCTACTAAAAAAAATACAAAAAATTAGCCGGGCGTGGTGGCGGGTGCCTGTAGTCCCAGCTACTCCGGAGGCTGAGGCAGGAGAATGGCGTGAACCCGGGAGGCGGAGCTTGCAGTGAGCCGAGATCCACTGCCCTCCAACCAAGGCAAAAGAGCAAGACTCCGTCTCAAAAAAAAAACAAAAAAACAAAAAAAAAAAAACAAGCATCTCCAAAATAAGAAAATGTGTCAAAGGAATGGTTAATGCAACAGTGGTTTAAAAAAACTAATAAGAACCTAATTGTTAAAGTCATAGGTAACTGAAAAGCACGTGGTAGAATCAAAGGCTAAGCACTGCATCTCTGTTCCCCTCACTGACGACCTATAGAACATATCAGAATCATAACTTCAAATAAACCAGGCATCTGTGTATGTTTTCTAAAATCACACTGAACTACCCTATTTGTTAATGGCTTTGTAACTAGGAAAAGAATAAAAATTGTGCAGAACTATAGTTAATAATATTGCATTGTATATTGAAAATTTCCTAAATATAAAGAATAGATTTTAGGTACTCTGACCACACACACACACACACACACACACACACACACACACAGTAACTAAGATTATAAGTATCTTAATTTACTTGTAGTGATCATTTCACTATGTGTGTGTGCGTGTGTGTGTGTTTGTGTATATATATATATGTATAAATTTTTTTTTTTTTTTTTTGAGATGGAGTCTCACTCTCGCCCAGGCTAGAGTGCAGTGGTGCAATCTCTGCTCACTGCAAGCTCCGCCTCCCGGGTTCAGGCCATTCTCCTGCCTCAGCCTCCCAAGTAGCTAGGACTACAGGTGCCCTTCGCCAGGCCCGGCTAATTTTTTGTATTTTAGTAGAGGCGGGGTTTCACCGTGTTAACCAGGATGGTCTCAATCTCCTGACCTCGTGATCTGCCCACCTTGGCCTCCCAAAGTGCTGGGATTACAGGCGTGAGCCACCGTGCCCAGCCTATGTGTGTATATTAAAAGAGCATAGTGTACACATTAAATATTACATATATAATAAAAATATAAAATAAAATGAGAATACAAATGTGGACTGAAGGTTGTTCCAAGTGAAATAGTTACTCATTAGAAACACAGAGGAGAATAAGAGCTGGGCGGGGCTCAGGGAGCATTTCACCTGTGTGTGTAACACTTTTAGTTCTCTAAAAAAAATCTAAAATATGTATGCCACAATATATTGACATTTGTGCGTTCAGTGGCAGTCATGTGGGCATTTGTGTTCTCCTCTTTGTACCTATGTATAGATTTAATACATTTTATTTAAAAAGTTAATTTCCCTAAACTAATTCTTTCTTCATATCTCTTTACCCTTGTCAGTGGCACCTTCACCTTGAACACACAGCAATAAAAGAAACCTTTTAGTGTGATGTCTTTTCCTTCCCTTACTCTCTTGCATCCAAATAATTACCAACTCCAGCTAATTCTCTGTAGAGTTTCTTATATCCAAATGTGGTTCCCTCTTTCTTCTGCCATTCTACTTCCCATTGACCCAGCCCCACATCTCACCTTGTGAAGACGCATAACTGGGCCTACAGAGACAGGGAATGGGCCACACCCCATGCAGGTGGGTGGGTGTGGACAGGGATGGGCCAGAGATGGGGCAGGGTCTCTGTCTCCCAGGAACCAAAAAGGGACGTGGCTATGGCGATGTAGTAGCAAGGGTACCATCAACGACTGTGCTAAAAGAAACAACGCAGATGGCTAAGTGCTAGAATGTGGAAAATTAGCCGGGAGAGTCCACACGAGGTTGCCCATGAAGCGAGCAACAAAAGCACGCAAGCCCAGCATTAGCAGGATCTGTTCCACGTGTGGGACACTGTGTTTGCTGCTTTCATGCATGGTCCTTCACTTGGCCCTTCCAGAAACTCTTGAAGAGAGATGATAATTTGTTGAAACTCAGGGAGTTTAAACATCTAGTCTACCTCGAAAAGTTCTTATGAAGGTTATTAACACCATGCACTCACAGATATATGTAATGCAATCTCTACCTATCAAATATGATCATAGCTACTAATTCTAGAACCATTAGGAAATTTAAAATTGAAATAGTTACAATGGCAATTTCTAAGTTTTAAACCGTAAGACGTTTGAGAAATGTAAAAGTCTCAAAAGAAGGATATAGTCTTACAACTTCAATAAGAATTTTCTTGTCACAAAAAGGATATCTTTCCCTTGCCTAGGGTAGACTCCTATTTATGCTGGGTTCAGTGTAGTTCAACATTAACTTGGTTGAATTCTTTTGAATTTCAGAATTCCTGTGCTGCAGTATAACAGATAATAGAGTGCAGGTGTTGGCAACCTATAGCCTGAGGCCAAAACATGCAGAGTCTACACCAACAACACTGTCTACACCATGTTCACCCTTCTACCTTGCCATTAGTATTCAATGCTGGACAAGGCAGACTGACACCTTGTGAGGACATTCTCCCTTCACAGGTGGAATCAACAGCCTTGTGAAAGGGTTATAACTTTGATTGCAAGTACGCATCATCTCTCTCTATACTACAATGGGGTGATCTTCTTAAATGGCATGGTTTGAATTTGCATTACAAGAGAAAACTTAAGGAAGTTTCTAACAGCACTAAAATAATGAACTGAAAATAATCTTTTTATTTATAATCACTCTAAGAAAGTTCCTGATTGATGAATCTCAATCGCTGCATTTTCCATATGTTAAAAATGCTGGTGACTGAAAGAGCTGATGAGTACCATAGTTTCCAAGACATCTTTTCTACCTCATTGACCATGTAGCCAAAACCCCACTGTGCAGCCTGGTAAATGGGGTGCAGGCCCTCAAACCATGCGTGCCCAATTGTGTAGAGCGGCTGGTGCAGGCTGTGCAGTCACCTCACTTCAGCCAAGGTTCAGAGCTGGGATAAGCTCAGAGCTCAGTGGAGCAGCCACAGGCTCACCCTCTCCCTACAGAATGCCATCTGTAATCCTTTGCTATGCAGCCTGCACTTCCCCAAAATGTGTGTCCCTGACATAAGGATAAGGAATATTTGATCCAGAAGTTCAGAGGGTCAGAGTTCTTGAGGCACAGAAGAAGATTTTAGTGTATTTACAAATGATTCTAAACTCTAATGCAAGGCATTCATCATAAATAATAATTTAAGTGCAAGAATAATCAATTTGGTGTATAATGTATCAGACAATTAATAGAAAGGTGCCAACTGAATTATTTTCTCCTAAGACCTTCCTAGTACCCTCACCATGTCAGGTGACTAATAGGCCATAAGTAATATTTGTTGAATGAAGAAATGTGCTGAGAATTCAAGATTTTATAAAAATTTAGGAGAAAGAGTTTGTAAACTCCATTGGGCTAAAAAATTTATTAGAATTATCATTTGTGATTCATACTATTAGAATCATATACTATACTATTATTAATTTATAAGAAAGATATTTTATATGATTATACTTATAGTATTATAAATATACCAAATTAAATCACCTCCCAATAACGTGGGCTTACATTGCCAAAGGGGTAGAAAAGGAGAACTACCTGGTTTTCCCTTAAGGATTGTAACATTCTATGCTTTCTCCAAAATTGTCAAGTTTAGCCTCGTGCATCAAAGAAGCAATTGATCTTAAATTTACAGACCAATAGTATATGATTTGATTTGGGAAACTGGAAGGGGCGATGGCAATTTAAAACAATTATTTGGGGCAATTTTTCTTATCAATAATAAGAAAAAAATAATAATGCAGATTCCAACTGTTCAAGTTATTTAGCTTAAGCTCTTGAGTAAGTTTTGGGAATAAATAGTTGATGCATATACTGTGCGCAAGTTGTTACTTTCTTATTAATATCATATCCCTGTATTACTAATAATATCAATCTAATTAATATACGTAGAAGAAGCTGAATTAGGAGGAAGATGTTTAATTCAATTTCTATCAGCTTTGTTATCTTTGTCATTATCAAAATGGAGAGGCCTGGAAAGCATTTAAAGATTTTGAGTTAAATCTTGCTTAACAACCTAAGCTGGAGATACGTATTTGAGGTTAATCATCATACGGATAATAATCGGCATCTCAGAAGGACATGAAGCCAAGCGAGTGTCTAACTTCTATCTCCCTCTCTCCTCAATCTAGAAGGAAAATGATTTCCAGCTGAAAACAAAGGATTTGTCAAAGGCAGTCTCAGACAACAGTAACCAAGTTTTCCCGATTCTGATTTTTGACAAAACACAGAGAGCTCGACAGAGCTACAAATTTGATAGTACCTTAAGATTTGCTTCAAATATTTTCACTTAGGTATATGAAAGATGGCAATCTAGGGAGAATATGCTCTGGGTAAGGTCTTGCCTGCATTCCACATTGGTTGATATTGATCACAAGAATTTATAAATATTAAGGTTTTTTTTTTCTATTCTCTCTACCACTCACAATGACCAACTCATTCCTTCTCTTCCAAGATGGCTGTTTGGGTAAGAAGAATGGCGGTTCCTGGTGTAGTCTGAACTTTAGGCAATGGCCAGTATGGAGTATTACCGGGTTCCCACATTCACATCTGGCATCTGACATCACCCTCACACACAGAGACTATTCAGTACTCACTTTCACCTGGACATCATCCCCTCAAAACACAAACGTTACTTGGTGTCACTGTCACCCTTCTTTTCCTCACTAACCTTTTTAAAATCAAAATCTCTAGCCAAGCCCCCACCAGCATCTTGAAATTGTGTCCCCAGAACAACAATGTTCAAACCTAACCCCCAGTACCTGTGAATGTGGCCTCACTTCAAAATAGGGTTTTTGAAATGTAACCAAGGTAATATGGGGTCCTACTGTATATGGGTGGGCCCTAATACAAGGACTGGTATCCTTATAAGGAGAGGGGTTTATGAAGCCACACAGACAAGGGGAAGGATTCCATGAGAAGGAGGAGGCAAAAACTGAGTGATGCAGGCACAAGCCAAGGAACTGAGGGGCCACCAGAACCCAGAACCACAAGAACATGGAAACACCAGAGCCAGGAACCACCAGGACCAGGAACCACCAGTAAATGAAACTACTAGAATCAGGAAACACCAAAACAAGGGACCATCAGAACCCAGAACTATCAGAACCTAGAACACCAGAACCAGGAATCATCAGTACCTGACACCACCAGAACCCGGAACCCCCAAACATAGAAACACCAGAACCAGGAACCACCAGGAACAGGAACCACCAGTAAACGAAACTACCAGAATCAGGAACCACCAGAACAAGGACAACGAATCATCAGAACCCAGAACTATCAGCACCTGGAACATCAGAGCCTGGAACCATCAGTACCTGACACCACCAGAACCTGGAACCATCAGTACCTGGAACCACAAGAACTAGAAACCATCAGTACCTGGCAGCACCAAAACGTGGAACTGCCAGTACCAGAACCAGAACCAGGAACCATCAACACCTGGCACCACCAGAACCTGGAACTATCAGCACATGGAACCCCCAGTACCTAGAACCACCAGTACCTGGAAACGCCAGTACCTGGAACCATCAGAACCAGAAACCATCAGTACCTGGCACCACCAGAACCTGGAATAGGGAAGGAAAGATTCTTCCTAAAGTCTGCAGAGGGAGCATGGCCGTAACGACACCCTGATTTTGAACTTCTGGCCTCCAGAACTGTGAGAGAATAAACTTTATTTGTTATAAGGCCCAATTGTGGTAATGTGTTACAATATCCACTACACATCGTAACAACCCCTAATGGTTCTCCTGCCCCAACCATCACAGATAAAGTTTCTTTTTTGTTTTGTTTTTCTTTTTGAGATGGAGTCTCACTCTGTCGCCCAGCCTGGAGTGCAGTGGCGCAATCACGGCTCACTGTAAGCTCCGCCTCCCGGGTTCACGCCATTCTCCTGCTTCAGCCTCCCGGGTAGCTGGGACTACAGGCACCCGCCACCACGCCTGGCTAATTTTTGTATTTTTAGTAGAGACGAGATTTCACCATGTTAGCCAGATGGTCTCGATCTCCTGACCTCGTGATCTGCCCGCCTCGGCCTCCCAAAGTGCTGGGGTTACAGGCGTGAGCCACCACGCCCTGCCCATCATAGCTAAAGTTTCTAAGAAGCTTAATCTCTTCCTCTGAAGTTCTGTAAGAGATAAGAGACCAGTCTCTCTGCTACATTCTGGCAACTGTGGAAGCAGTAAGTGGTCAGAACAAGCTTTGTATTAAGTGCTCTTTGTTTCATAATCCCAGAGATAATTGTGCAGACCCCTTGTCCTCTCACCTGCTGTGGGGCCCTGTCCATATACAGGGAGCAATTCCATTCGCCACATAATGAACATATGCAAGACCTATATGGTCCCAGGAGAAATAATGCATTAGTAAAATTAAACTGCCATGTAAACCGCTGAAAAAGCCTCCCCAGGAAGCAAGAAAGGGCTTAATGCAATGGGAATAGTGGCATCCCAGAGGCCTTTGGGAGGAAGTTGCGTAAAAATTAAACATGGGACATTTAACTCCCACGAAGTCACTTCCTTAGCCATTTTGACTTTGTTCAGTTTTAGTTTTCCCTCCAAGATCAGACTCACTACTCCCTGTAGATGCTACAAAACTGTAAATCCATTTAGCTGAAAATTCTTGGAACAATTTTTTGAATACTCTTGGTTTGTTATTTCTTACGTAAACAATGCAATAAATATTCCACAATACTATGGGAGGCGCAAACTAGTATTTGGAATAATTATTTTTCCTTGTGTGCTTTTTTTTCTCTTTGCCTTCCTTTCTGCTTTAAAAAAAAAAATCACTGTTCCTATGGAAACAATAATGGTACTACTATTCCGTGAGTGTAATGCCTAAGACAAAAATGATTGTGTAGAGATATGCCTTCTAGGTATGGTCTTTTATGCCCAAAATGTCTATTAATATTGATCCCTTGCTATAATATCAAAAACTTGGAAAAGTAAAATTCAAACTAAGACTATTCTTTAAATAAGACTAAATTGACTTTCAAAATTCTTAGACAGAAATTTTTATCCTTATCTCATTTGTTGGTTCATTCATCTGTTCAACAAATATTTACTAAATGCCTAGGCTTTGGTAGTGAATTTATCATAGTGAATTTATTTTCTGCTAATATGATGAAGAGTTTGAAAACAAGCATTAAATGTGTGACTTACAATTCCATAATCCTTAAGGACTTAGAATGACAAAAGTATCTTTTAAATTTTTACATTTTTAGGATTGAGAAGATTCATTATTTTTTAAAAAAGAAATTCCTGTAATAAAGCAATTGCTCAGTTTTGTCAATTGTGGTAGCATCTCATTACACGTTTGTTAGTTATCTTTTAATCTTCATGATTGAAACTTAAGCAATCTTAAAGTAGTTAATAAACAAAGACATTAATTCTGAGATGCTCAAAACAGGCTCATTATTGGTCATTTATGAGGAATGGGGCAATGTATATGTTTCATTGTTAAAATAGTCTAAATCCTAAACCAGTAAAATTTAACTGGAATTCACACAACGCTTTATAGGCAAGTGAAAACGACCCCTTAGCTTGCTTAACTTTACAACTCTAGTTGTTCTGTTTGCTCATTTAATTTGTATTTGTTTTCATAAAAAAGCTATAATCTAGAGCCAGTGAAAGACCCTCATGTTCATGATAAGCTTTCTTCAGTCTGATATGCATTAATTTTAATTGGCCATTAGAGGATTCATTCCTTGCCCTCAGCCAATGGTTCACTAGGGGATGACATTTAATTTGCAGAGGAAGTAGGAAGGAGCTGGGGAAAGCAGCTGAAATACAAGCTTTAGTATTAATCCTCTTGTTGAATAAAACATACATGCAACACAAGAGTTGACTATAATGTGGTACAATTGAACTGAACTGGACAGAAACTCTGACTGTATAGAATATGTGACAAAACCCTGGTGAGGAATGACATTTTCATAGTATCACATCCTTTTAAGAAAATTTACCCAGAAACCAGGAATTTTCCCATACTATTTAGTCTTCTGCATTTCATATAATAGGTGTCCAATTAACATTTATTGCATAAAGGGTGATCTTTTATTAGTAACCATCCAATATGGATCAAAAAGCAACTAAGAGCTGAAAACAGGCAACTCTCCGGCTAGTTAATTTAGCAGAGAGAGCAGGAAATGCTGATTCAGAACTATGACAGGCTGTGAATAGTCAGTTTCTGCAATGCTTGTTGTTTCTCTTTCTCTTGGCCCTGGGTTGAGAGGGGACAAGGAAGAAGGCAGCATGGAACTAACCAAGAATATGAGAAAGAGAAAACTAGGCAGCCTAAAAAGGCAGCACCATGTGGGGAAAGACAAATGGGCTTTGGGGTGAGACTGAATGGGCTTCAGATCCCAGCCTCACTTTTCATAAGTTTGGGGACATGCAAGTTATCATCTGTTTAGATTGCTTGTTTTCTGATATGTAAAATGGGATGACAACCATATTTACTTTATAGGGTGTTTTGGGGATAAAATGCAAAGATGCATGTCAAATCCCTAGCACAGATGTGGCCTTTAAAGAAGAAAAAAATACCGGTATATACCTCGTTCAGTTTCTAAGAGCAAAATTTACACCCTCCTATCTAGACAGAAAGGTTTTTAAATGACAAGGAGAGGGAAATTGCTTGCAAATATTTTGGGTGCAAAATTTGTGTGAGGTAATGGTGTTGTATACAGATACACAGACTTCAGAAAAGACAGTTCGGTGTACAGGAGGCCCTCTACCCATACATAGCTCCCAGAAGGACATTTAGAAGGCCACTGGTATACGACTTCAATGTGAGTAGGCAGCGTTGATGCACAGTCCTTGGATTAATTGTCACAAAGTGTCACGAAGTAGAAGTCTTAGCTTGTCCTTTGAAATCTTTCTTGCGGACACATACTCTCTCAGGTGACTGTTCCCAGTTTCATTACCTTGAAAATCTTTTCAGGCAAAACCCCCTCTGGATTAGTCCGTCCTCACACTGCTATGAAGAACTTCCCTGAGATTGGGTAATTTATCAAGAAAAGAGGTTTAACTGACTCACAGTTCCACATGGCTTGGGAGGCCTCAGGAAACTTATAATCACAGCGGAAGGGGAAGCAGGAACCTTCCTCACAAGGCAACAGAAGAGAGAAGAGCAAGGGAAACCACCACTTATAAAACCATCAGATCTCTTGAGAACTCGCTATGACAAGAACAGCATGGGGAAACCGCCCCCGTGATTCAGTTACCTCCCACCAGGTCCCTCCCTTGACACATGGGGATTATAATACAAGATGAGATTTGAGTGCAGACACAGAGCCAAACCATATCACCCTCCGCACCTGATTAGCTCAACCAGACCAAAGGGTGCGGGTGCTTCTCCACACAAAGCCCCAGTCGTGTTCTCTTCTCTCTCACGCATTGTGCTCGATTGCCTGGGCTGGGACTTTCCTTTGGCTTTAGAACTCGTGCTTAATCTTTCAAAGTTAATCCTACCCTTGAAATGTCTATTACATAAGCCTGTGCAACGTTCGCCATGTTCTTACCCTTTTAATCACTTTTGTCTCCGTCACTAACTCATAAGCGTCCTCTTACTGTGCTTTCATGCTCTCTGTATTTGCATATTTTGGATTTAAAGAGATTAATAGGCCGAGCTCTGTGGTTCCCGCCTGTAATCCCAGCAATTTCGAAGGCCAAGGTGGGCAGATCACTTGAGGTCAGGAGTTCGAGACCAACCTGGCCAACATGGTAAAACCCCATCTCTACTAAAAATACAAAAATTAGCTGGGAGTGGTGGCGAGCACCTGTAATCCCAGCTACTCAGGAGGCTGAGGCAGGAGAATTTCTTGAACCTGGGAGGCAGAGGTTGCTGTGAGCTGAGATCGCACCACTGCACTCCAGCCTGGGTGACAAAGTTAGACTCCATCTTAAAAAATAAATAAATAAATAAACAAATAAATGGATTAATAACATTAATCACAGACTCAGTGAGGAAAGATGCCATAGATTAATGAGCACATGGGTTAACAAGAAGGGACCAGTTTCATACTAACAGCTATAAATCTGTTGCTGTCGGAGACAGTGGACCCCTTCTTCCCTAGAGGAGCTGCTGCTGTCTTTAAATCTTCTCATGCAAAGGCATAACTAGAGCAGAGATCTCCAATTTCTTGCCTCTGTGGTTTTCTCAAGCAATTTCCTCTCCCTGGGATGCCAAACCATCATCCTTCTTCACTCACTTGGCCAATCCTACTCAACTTTGACATTCATCTCAAGTATCTTCTACATCAGCGGTCCCCAACCTTTTTGGCACCAGGGACTGATTTGGTCAAAAATGATTTTTCCACAGATGAGATTGGGGGATGGTTTCAGGATGATTCAAGCCCATTACATTTATTGTGCACTTCATTTCTGTTATTACATTGTAATATGTAATGAAATAATTATAAAACTCACCATAATTTAGAATCAGTGGGAACCCTGAGCTTGTTTTCCTGCAACTAGATGGTCCCGTCTGGGGGTGATGGGAGACCGCAGCACCATCAGGATTAGATTCTCATAAAGAGCGTGCAACCTAGATTGCCCCCATGCACAGTTCACCATGGAGTTCGGGCTCCTGTGAGAATCTAACGCGGCCTCTGATCTGTAGGAGGCAGAGCTCAGGCGGTAATGTGAGCGATGGGGAGTGGCTGTAAATACAGATGAAGCTTCACTTGCCCCACCTGGGCAGCCCAGTTCCTAACAGGCCATGGACCAGTACCTGTTCCTAACAGGTACTGGTCCATGGCCCAGGATTGGGGACCTCTGATCTACATCATATTACCAAATGTTTATCTCCAGCCCCGACCTTTCAAAGGGATTTCAAACATGAATCTCCCAAAACAGACCCCCCGACTCCACTTGAGTCCCATGAATTGTAGATTTCTCTGCCCACATTCCCCTTTCCTTAGCCTGGGGCATTCAAGGGTTTGCTCTCCTCACTCAGTTGCTCACTTCCACTGCAGCTCAGGCCCCACCTCCACCTTCTCCCCTGTCATTCAATGTTCTTCCAGGAGTTACAGAGCTTAAAAATAAAGAAACACAGCCAGGTAACACCTCTGTGCCTGCAGCCTCCAGTGGCCTCCATCACACAGAAGAAAACCCAAGTTTCTTATCATGGGCTAAGAGGACACATTCTGGCCCAGTCTGACTTCTCACACCACCATCCCACTTGCTTGTTATACTATGTACTGTGCACCTTGTCTCCTGTTGCAACTTGTGTTTTTTGCACTGAAAATGATGGCTTCACAGAGTCACATTCTGGCATATAGAAAATAGTGTTTTCCACAGGTGACTGCAACACTATTGTATTTTTCAAAAGTAACTGCAACTAATCAGCAACCCTAGAAGCTCCTCCAGAACCTGCCTCTTTCTCATACTGAGTGACATCTATGCTCCCTCACCTTCAACCCAGGTGGACCTTGTGATGGACCCCGTGGGCCAAGTACACCCAAATGATGCTGTGTTGTGTACAAGATTAGGGTGGGAAATGCTGCATGTCTTCTGCTGAACTCTCTCCTGGGACACTTCCCCTGGGAACCCAGCTGTCATGTTTTGAGGAGGCACAGGCCATATGGAGAGTCCTGGAAAGGTCTCAGGAATAGGCACCATCAGCAGCCACAGTGCGAGTGAACCACTCTTCAGGTCATGCAAGGCGCCTGGGTGCAGTCAAGCCCAGACTGTAAGTTTCCCAGCTGAGGTCCCAGGCACAACGGATCCCACCAGCCACCCCTGCTGTGCTCCATTCAAGTTCCTGAACTTCCAAGTTACTTTCTGAGCAACTTTCTAAAAAGCAGATCTGAATAGGTTGCACTTCACCTTAAACAAAGCACTGGTTTTTGTGTGCTTCTTTTCCCCTGGTTCTGTGTAGGTTCCAGAGTGCGAGGAGCCTCTGAGGAACGTGCTTACAATCCATCTCCTGCTCCCGTTTCCCACGAGTTTCATTCTTCAGCCATGTGCGAGGGACACAGTCACGCCAATAAACGCCTCGTGCTGCTCCCTAATCTGGACTTGTTATCCCTCTGCCTGGAGGCCTTTTTCCCCCTGTCTTTTTTTTAGCCAACTAATCCCTGAATTCAGCCTCAGCAGGAACCTGGACTTTTTGCCCGATATTCCATTGGATTTAAGCAGACACTCTGCCCTCTGCTCCCACGCTTGTGCTACCACCTGTACAGCATCTGTCGCTATTTACTGAAATCTTGATGATTTATTTGCCTGTACACTGCCCCCTCCCTATTAAACTGTAACTTTCCGGGAGTAGGTCTCATTTATTTTTGTGTGTCCAGTAAACTGTCTTCCACACGGAGGCCACAAAATCAATACTTGCTAGTGGGACGTGAGTGAGACAGCTGCCCCTCAACTGGTAGGTTTGCTGTGGCACTCTTCCCAGATGGCTCTTTGTTTGAACCTAAACTTTACTGAAACTTAAGTCGTTTCCATTGTCCCCTCTGCCCACTCTGTCTGTGTTTGTCTCATTGGCAGCTTTCTCTATACCCTACTATTTACAAACAGAAAGTCATATATTTAACAAATGTAACAAATAGCGCAGGCCAGGAACATACACACATCAACCATATCTAGTTTAATCTCACTGATATCAACAAAACACATAGTTCTTGAGGGTTCTTACAGGTAATACCCAACTATATGCAATATATTTTATTTATCCTTCAAGATAAACACTACAGGAGGACAGATAACATAAACATTTCACAAAAGAACTGACAGAATAAACTGCTCCAACTAAAGTATAATCTATAGATTTAATCTCGATTTCTCTACTTTCTAAACCTTTAATATTTTTAATCAAAAAGTTTAAGTACCAGTGTTTCTCAAAAAGGCTGTTATATCAAAATTAATAGAAACAAGACTATAGTATTTTATTTTAACATTTTCAGGGTTTTTTAATAATAAAGTCTTTTTTTTCATGTGGGAGATTATAGAAAGCCTTGGAGACATTGTCACTTATAAAGTAAATCATTATCCTTCCAATGAGAAACATTGTAAAAATAAGCTTCGGATGTGAATCAGCTGATAACACGGTGAGGCATTTTCCCGTGAAATCATCCCTTGATGATGAGAGTTTTAAAATGATGCTAGATTATCTTCGTCACTGTTTGCCTCTGTAGTGATGCACTGATTTTAATAGGATCTAGGGATATTACGCATCAGGCAGCAACTAGAATAATTTCAGCACTCCTGAGTTCAACATCACACCTCTTTTGTGACACTTTCCTGTGTGTTTTAGGCACATTATTGCGTATACTCATAAAATCTGAAGTTAGATGGATCCTTGTTGAGCAGAAATAACAGCTTCTGATAAATTTCAATATACATAGCAATTTAAATGTTTCCTGCTAAAAGTCCTTAATAATGTCTATTGACTACATTTATTCATTTCAGGGAAAAAATAATGAAAACAATATTTTAGGAGCTCAGTGAAATTTATTAATTCATCATTTTAGTCCAAACAATCTGAAAACTCAAGTACATTCCAAGATTATCCTCTTTGTGGCTGCGAATACTTACTTAAGCCAGCTGCCCTTGGATTCTTCATCTGCAAAAACTGAGCCAGTTATTCAGTAGTGTTTTTGTGGAAGTCAAATAAGCTTAACAGTACTGTACAAACGTATGTCTCCATCAGGAGTGCTTAGAGTCTTATAACACAGCTATCAATTTGCTGTAAGTGACCCATTCCGACTACCTGTAACATCTAGCCCAGTACTGAGCCAATAATCCGCTCACTCACACTTTCCACTCCTAACACAATCACTCACACTTTCCACTCCTAACACACTCACACTTTCCACTCCTAACACAATCACTCACACTTTCCACTCCTAACACACTCACACTTTCCACTCCTAACACAATCACTCACACTTTCCACTCCTAACACAATCACTCACACTTTCCACCCCTAACGCAGTAGGTAAATGTGCGTACCATAGGCACTAGTCACATAACCTTCCCTCTCTGCCCTGATCCCCCAGGACCACAGGCATAAGGAAACACACCCCGTCACTCCCTTAATGACATCACGGCATGGCTACCCACAGGCCAAGCTCCAGTACTGTGCTGGTGACATGACACAAAGACAAATGAGACCACAAGGACCTCCACATCAACTCAGGGAGACTGGCTCTGAGCTTGGTTGAGACATTGATCTTTGTGATCAGCTTGTGACAACAGTGATAAGCATTTCTGAGATGTGAGGGCACTGAAGATTTCATACAGCACTAGAGATTTGTTTTTTGATGTTAAAAGAACCATCCTAGCAAATATGTTGACACCACGAAGAGCGGGAGAGGGCCCTGGATGCCAGGCAGGGGGGTCCGTGGCTGAGGATTCATGGGAAGGAGGTAAGGGGAGGAGAAAAGCAAAGGAACATCAGAATCCTTGTGGTAATTTCACCAAGGAGCAATTGCTTTTTAACTTTTATTTCAGGTCCGGGGAACATGTGCAGGCTTGTTATACAGGTAAATCGTGTGTCACAGGGATTTGGTGTACAGATTGTGTCGTCACCCAGGTGATAAGCATAGTCCCTGATAGGTAGCTTTCTGATCCTCTCCCTCCTCCCACCCTCCACCCTCCAGTAGGCCCTGGTGTCTGTTATTCCCTTTTTGTGTCCATATGTTCTCAATGTCTAGCTCCCACTTATAAGGGAGAACATGCAGTAATAGGTTTCTGTTTCCTTCATTAGTTCACTTAAAATAAGGTCCTCCAGCTCCACCCATGTCGCTGCAAAGGACATGATCTCATTCCTTTTTATGGCTGCATAGTATTCCACGGTGCATATGTACCACATTTTTTAATCTAATCTACCATTGATGAGCATCTAGGTTTATTCCTTGTCTTTGCTATTGTGAATAGTGCTGCAGTGAATATTTGCAAGTGTGTCTTTATGATAGAATAATTTATATTCCTTTAGGTATAATAATGGGATTTCTGGGTCGAATGTTTTAAGTTCTTTGAGAAATTACCAAACTGCTTTTCACAATGGCTGAACTAATCTACATTCCCACCAGCAGTGTATAAGGGCTCCCTTTTCTCCACAACCTCACCAGCATGTGATATTATTTGACTTTTTAATAATAGCTATTCTGACTGGTGTGAGATGGTATTTCACCATGGTTTTGATTTGCATTTCTCTAATGATTAGTGATGTGGAGCATTTTTGCATATGCTTGTTGGCCATCTGTATGTCTTCTTTTGAGAAGTGTCTGTTCATGACCTTTGCCCACTTTGTAATGGGGTTAGTTTTTGCTTGTAAATTTGTTTAAGTTCCTTATAGATTCTGGATATTAGACCTTTGTCATGTGCATAGTTTGCAAATATTTTCTACCATCCTCTAAGTCGTCTGTTTACTCTGTTGATAGTTTCTTTTGCTGTGCAGAAGCTCCTTAATTAGATCCCAGGTGTCAATTTTTTGTTGTTGCAATTGCTTTTTGCATCTTTGTCATAAAGTCTTTGCCAGGTCCTGTGATCAAGGAGTAATTCTGTTCAGGCTTTGCAATAACCTTCTCAAGAAATATGAAAGTCTTTCAAAGTCCCATGTGCAAATTTAAGAAATCCCATACAATTTTTATGCATTCAAATGGTTTATGTATTTATACCTACATATACTTTTCTAGGCAGTATTTGAGTTTTGAAGAGCGCTGTAAGAAAGGAAGGAAGGACTAATAGCCTAACATTGGTCAGGTTGTTTATCAGAATATAAATTTGCCTTCATGCAATACCCTGTTCTGTAGTTTAAATTTCATTTCCCATGTGTATGGTCACTTCCATCTGGCAACCAGCGGCTGAATGAAAGGAACTGAAAGTTACTGTCAAGTCTGTAAGCGCATATCACACAAAGACTGAGAAACCAGAAACCTACAAACGGCTGTGTGACCTTGTGAAGATCATCCAGTCTTTCTGAATATCAGGTTCTTCACCTGTAAAATGAAGTCAAGCTTCATTTGCTTCATGATGATGAGGTAAAAACCTATATAGTCTTTTATTTCACCCCCAAATAAAAGAGAATTATGAACAAAACATATAAACACCATCTTCAATGACACAAGGAGACGTTTGTAGCCCAGTACCAAATTTATGAAGCAAAAAAAGTTGAAACAGTAAATGAGTTAGCAGAACAAAGGAAGATGAAGCTTGAATGTCTCCGAAACCATTAGGAGGAAGCCAGCTCACCTGGAGAACAGGAAAATAGCCAAGTAACTAGAGCAGCCAGTTTCTGCTGAAGGGGTGGTTAGAACCACCCCTCCCCAACCCTCAGGAGACGAAAAGTATAGTTTCTAAAGGCACTCAATCAGAAATCCTCCATATCTAGACACTGAGGAAGGCAAAAGAACATTACAAACACACACCAAGAGGACATTACAAACACACACACAATCAGCAAGTGAAAAACCAAGCAGCTGGAGATGAAAGATTGGAACAGGGACCTCCCTGTCTCCCCAACCAAAGCTGCCAGGCTCTCCCCAAAGCAAGAAACTGGAAGCTCTTTCTCAGAGATACCCAACCACCACCAAAAGGCAAACATACCCAAGCATTTGGGTGACTCAAGTAAAAAGAGACACATGACATTGAAGGTTGCAGGCCACGTGCTCACCCCTGCAGACGGCGTTCCTAATGGCTTTGCATTGCTTCCTAAGGAAGAACACTCAGATGCCAGGGTCCAATAGCAGAGACAGAAGCCACACCAAATAGCCAGAAAAACGAAGGAACTACTAAGAAACAGAGAAAATAAAACATTTTCTCTAAAAGTTAAAGGCATTGTGAAGACAACAGCCATCAACAAAACAAGGGCTTCAGTTCTACAACCGCGTGGAACTGAATTCTGCCAGCATCCTGAGTGGATTCTTTCTCAGAACCTTTGGAGAGGAGCATCGCCCAGCATTCTGACCTGCAGAACTCTCAGGTGAACATAACCCTGTGTTTTTTAAGCTGTTCAGTTTGTGGTAATTTGTTCCTGTAGCAGTAGAAAACTAACATGATGCCCATTTAATAAGCAAAATTTGTTGTTCTTCACAATTCAAAATTTAGAGATTGAAAATTCTCTAAAATTGCTGCCTACTTGGCTGCGTTTTCTATCAAGAACACTTATTAGAATGAATGACTCAGGCTCATAGTCATTGGCAACGTTTATTTCCTAGCAGTGACACCAGGACATGTTTAGTGTATGCCCAGCATGATTGACTCATTACCCACATACTGCTGGTCTTCTCTTTTCAGCTGTTCATTGTTTTCCTGTTTTCACAGTTCTTAGCATCATGTCTCACTCTCAGCAAAGTGACTGGCACTGAGCCTGTTTTGCTATTAGGATAAATTGAAGGATGCAGGTTTCTAAAATTCATAACTTTGCGTTACACAAACTCAGTATTTTGCATAGCTCCTCCTTGACTTACATATCTCTCACTGCAGTGATTGAAGGCCGGTGTTGTCCTGAGGTTAAAATGATACCTGCCTTCATGGGCCTTCCCTCCAGCCAGTCAATATGAGCAATCTGTTCATTATTTATTTCAAAGCAATGTAACTGATGACATGGAACTGTCCCATCTTCATGTGCGGAATACTCTACAGCTGGTATTCATCACCAGAAATTCTTATCTTCCTTATGCAGGTCTTAGTTAAATCACACTTTAAAAGAAGCGTGGCTGATCTGAATTACTCTGAGATAAATCTTGAGCTGCTTTTTTCATGTGAATGTACAAATGAGTGAATGATGGAATGCACATGAAAAATCGCACCTGGAATTTAAGGATGTAGAGCTGCTAAATAAATTACTCTGAACTCAGTACTCTGAACTAAGCCACCGTTTTTCATGCTTTTTTCATGAATGTAAATTTTCCAACTTTCATTCATGTGTTTATCTGGATCTTCTGCTGTGGATCTTACAAGGCTGAAAGCATGGCATTGGCTGGGCTACATTATCATCTGAAGGCTCAGCTGGGGAAGAATCCATTTCTGAGCTCATTTAGGTTGCTGGCAGAATACCTTTCCTTATGGTTGTACAACCAAGGGCTATTAGGAGGGTGCCACCCTTGGGCCCTAGAGACTCCCCAGAGCTCACAGCCACCAGCCACGTGCACTTTTCCAGCATGACTTTCAGCTCCATGCAGCCCACAGATGGCTCCAGCTCATCTGCCCTCACAGAGTCTTATTTAATGTGATATACGCACAGGAGGGACAGCCTATCACCCCTGTCAGGTTACAGAACCTAAGCATGTGGGCAAACCATCACCTTTGTTGTCATCGATTTGTAAGTAGCAAGTCACCAACCTGGCTCACACTCCAGGGCAGGGAGTAGGACAGAGGTGTAGATGGTAGTAGGTAGGATGACCAGGAGACACCTTAGGGTGTGTCCACATCCGTGACTTCTCTCTTGGCTTGCTCAGGCTCAGTGGGGAATTAGCAGCATTCAAACTTGTTAAGCAGTGAGGAAATGGACTGCTGCAAAGGGGAGGAGCCAAACAGGACAGGCCCTGGAGAGGTATGCGGATTTCCTTGGAGGATCACTGGGTATTGTTCATGAGATGTACAAAACCTGTAAGTTTCAAGATGCTAATAGGAAAAGGATCTGAGGGAGGGCAACATTGAAGATAAAACAGAGGGGCATGGTTTCCTCAAAGCCGTGAGGGTCTGGCCCCCAGCAGAAGTGAATGCGCTGTCTTCCCACAGGTGTGTGGGGTGGGGAGGGGCCAGGTGTCCCATTTTCCCATTTAACCAGGGAGCAGGAAGGCGGTGTGGGCACAGATGCCAGGGAAGGATGGATTTGGAGCCAGCAAGTTGAGGGTTTCTTTGCCTGACAGCTTCTATTTTCTCTGTAAAGCAAGGCCCAAGGCCATCTGGGGAGAAGGAAGGGTGTGTGTGCTGAGGAACTGGAGGTTTAACAAGGTCCAGAAGGTTTAAAACAGTCCTTATAGACAACCCTTCAGTGAGTGAGCATTAGAATTATAGTATGATTATTAGGTAGCGTTGAGCACACAGTTGGAGTCGGTGACTATAAAGAGACACGACCCACCCCCATTTCTAGAGCTGTGCTGGAGTTGGCTGCTGCAGGCTCACAGTTGTACTATTCTCTGAAGAATTGCCTGCAGCTACTAGGAGCTACCTCACCATGACATGCCTAGAAGTGTACTCTCCTGCAACCTGGGGGAGTCCACAGCCAACCACGACTAACACAGGGATGCAGCAGCAGACCCAGGCACGCCTCGGAGCTCCCCCTGGAATCACACTGAGGCTAGCCTTCAGTTATTGCCAGGCTTTGTTTAGTGTCTCCTGGCTCTGCTTGTTTTGCCTGAGAATACTTCCATGTTAGATCACCTGCAAAGACCTCTGTCCAGGATCTGCTTCTAGGGAACCCAACCTAAGCAAGTAGCCAAGAACCCCAGTGGTACCAGTAACCTCAAGTGCAGCAAGTGATTTGTTTCATCTAAAGTTAAAGTTGTGCCAAAAGGCTATGAAAATATTGGGTGATAATGTTTTTGTTTTTATGAGAGAGAGTTTCACTCTTGTCGCCCAGGCTGGAGTCCAATGGCGTGGTCTCAGCTCACTGCAACCTCTGCCTCCTGGGTTCAAGCGATTCTCCTGCCTCAGCCTCCCAAGTAGCTGGGATTACAGGCATGCACCACCATGCCCGGCTAAATTTTTTATTTTTTAGTAGAGAAGGGGTTTCACCATGTTAGCCAGGCTGGTCTCAAACTACTGACCTCAGGTGATCTGCCCACCTTGGCATCCCAAAGTGCTGGGATAAATGTTTATATTGTTAAAAATAAGGATGAATTTAAGTTTACATAAAGCTGACTTGGCTGGATAGAGTTCCTAATTTTGCAGTCTACTTTAATAGTCAAGCTGAATGTTAACATTTTAGAGGAAACCAAGTATTTGACTGCTACAGTCTTACTTCAGAGCCTCATCTCCTTCTGGACAGTGCTTGTGTGGTGTTCACCATGGATTGGATGAAAGGTCTCCAGATTCCAATCTTGCCTTCTTCCAGTCCCTTTCTCCTGCTGCTACCAGAAATATGCCCCTAATACGCAAATATTTTCACATTACTTTCCTACTGAAAACCTTTCAATAACCCCAATTGCCTACAGAGTGCATTCTAACTTAGTCATAACTGACCAGTTCAATTGTCTGAAGCCTGCCTCTTGTCAAGCTTGATTTCTTCACTCTCTCCTCACCCTCTGTACCGTATTTATGTGAGTTATTTACACATCTCTAAGTATCTTGCCCCTTTTCACACATCTAGGTTATCTGTGAACCTGACAACTCACTGAGGGTGTAGTGCTTCTTTTCTCCCTGTATAAAATGGCCTTCTTCCCACTTCAAGCACCCTTTCACATCATGTTAATACTGCTGAGATAGCATCTGTAATTATCTCATTGGACACACCTGCTTACGTATTTCCATTTCCTATTAAACTCAGAGATCCAGGAGTACTGGGTCTATGTCATGTTCATTTGCTGAATAGGAACTAGCCTGTGCTCATCTCTAAAGCTCCAGTGGGAGAAGACAGCAGGAACAACTTAAAATTTAGCCATCAGAAAGCAGATGATCAGAAAAAAATGCAAGGGTAGCCTTCTGGAGCTTGGCAACACTAAACAGCGTTTAGCACTACACCTGTAGACCATTTTACAGAGTGAAATCACCAAGGCAAAGCACAAGCATGCAAAATACGTGTCTCCTTATAGACTGAAAGACACTCTTGTTTGCAGTAAGAGCCAAAGCCAGAAGGCAGAGCATTTCTTGCTCTTCCTTCACTGGGAGGGTACACAGTGGACAACTCAAACGTTTTGCCTCTTTGTGCATGTCCACAAATGGCTGCACAAGCAGAGTGAGAGTTGGTTTCGAAGTTAAAAGCTATTTTAGCAAGTAGGCGGATTCACAAATATAGAATCCATGAATAATGAGGATCGACGGCCTTTTCCTAAACCACCGTCTCATCTTAACAATTTTTTTGTGTGCTTATTAGTGGACTGAAAACAGGACAAAGAGAAGACGTTTTTGTAGTCAGGATTTCAGACCACAGGGGCAGGCTCCCGGAAAATGAACAAGCACCGTCATCTTCTAGAATAATAAACAGTGCATGAGTTCTAAAATGTCTTCCTGAGATAATTCCTTTGTATGGCATTTCTGATTTTTAAAATTATAAGAATAAATTTTAAAATAAAACAACTAACTCATTAACCCTCATTCCATTTCCACATCACATCTATTAGTTTGTTCTTATATTCTTCTCATTAACAATAGAAGATATTACTACTATTATAGGTAATTATTTCTTTTTCACCTCTTTCGGCAACTGAAGAAATAGCATGAGCTTTCAGAACTACACAGACTTGCTTTTGAAGCTGAATAAGCTACAGCAAATGATTTAGTTCTTCTGGGTCTAATTTTCCATCTCTAAGTCCTCACCTGAAATGACTCTTGAAAAGTACCCACCGGGTCCATAATAGATGGTTAATAATTATCTCTCTCTGCACACACCCATTCACACTCAAGTGTTTCTTTCATTGAAAACTCCAGGGAAAGTGTATATTTAAAAAGATTATTAAATCACACAGCTAAAGTCAACACAACGACTCTAGTGGTTGCAAAAGAAGGTGACGAGGTCTGCTGCTGGCTCTCTCAGCAGCCTCCGTCTCTGTTGCATTCCCCTTCTCTCTTAGCCTGCCGTTCTCTGTAACACTGTCTTTTCCAGCTACACCAGTCTTCCTAAATTGCTCAGACAGCCCAAGCATTCTTCTTCTTTTTTTAAAAAACAAAACAAAACAAAACAAAAACGGAGTCTTGCTCTATCACCCAGGCTGGAGTGCAGTGGCATGATATTAGCTCACTGCAACCTCTGCCTTTCAGGTTCAAGTGATTCTCCTGCCTCAGCCTCCTGAGTAGCTGAGATTACAGGCACCCACCAAGCTCAGGCATTCTTCGGTCTTAAGTTCTGTATGTGAGCTGTTCCCTCTGCTTGCAAGCCCTTTAAGGACATTCCTAGGCCAGCTGCTTCTCAGCCTGTTTCATCTTTGCAGAAGCCTCCAGCCTTCCCTTCCTATGGGAGGCATTGTCTCCTGGTCTCCGGTTTAGCCCTCGTGTGTGCTTCCTCACAGTATGTACTCACTTCATTTGCCTGTTTGCCTATTTTTACCTTCCTCATCCTCTAGAACAGGGTCTGAAAAACTATAGCCTGTGGGCAAAATATGGCCAATCTCTGGATTTGGTACAGCCTGAAAGCCAAGAATGCATTTTATATTTCTAAGCAGAAAAAATCAAAATAAGGATATTTTGTGATGTATATTTAAAAATGCATGGGAAATTCAAATTTCAGTGTCCATAAAGTTTTTGGCATCAAAACTGCACTCATTCATCTAGACACTGTTTATGGCTGTCTTTAGGATACAGTGACAGAGCTGAGTAGCAGCAATGGAGGCTGTACAGTCCAGAAAGCCTAAACTTGTTAACATCTGGACTTTCATAGGCCTAGAACCTTTTGACCTCTTTTGACCTCAGGCCTAGAACAAAAAGTCCACAATGTCAGGTTCACTTCTGTTTTCTTTGCTTTTTCATCCTTTGCTTAACACAAAGTGCCTAGAAGAGAAGGCCGTGCTCAATAAAAGCAACCGAATGAAGACGATCCCCTGGGAATGTTGGTGTCATTATTCTTAGTGGGAGCAAGGCTAGAGAAAATAAACAATACTTCATTTATAGATTCTAAAATTCCTTTGGTTCTAAGTCATACAGATATTTCAAAAAATAATGAGACCAACTGAAGTGACCCAATGCTTTCTTCTCACTTTGAGTTATAATATTTAGAGAAATCTCCTAGATGTACTTAGACATATAGACATATAGTGTCTTTTTAATTTTATTTTTATTTTTATTTTTATTTGAGACAGAGTCTCACTCTGTCACCTAGGCTGGAGTGCGTGCAGTGGCGCGATCTCAGCTCATAGTAACCTCTGTCTCCCGGGTTCAAGTGATCCTCCTGCCTCAGCCTCCCAAGTAGCTGGGACTACAGCTTCTAAGCGTTTTACATTTAATAATTTATTATTGCAACAACTATTAAGATGGATATTATTACTAGCCTTATCCTACAGATGAATAAACTGAGCCTAAGCATAGCTAAGTGACATACACAAAAAAGCTAGGAAGTGGTGGTAAGGAACTTCACTTTAGGCAGTCTGGCTCTAGATTTTATATTTCAACAGTATGCCCTACTACCGTTATGGTAAGAATAAAATAGCTAGCATTTGTTTAGTACTTACTATGTGACAGGAAAAGTTCTAAGTGATTTTCTCGTACTCACTTATGTAATATTCACAATAAACCAAAGAGGTAAGTATTATTATAATTCCTATGTTGCAGATGACAAACTGAAGCATAGAGAGATTGTCTTATCTTTCCTGGCTGTTATGACAAAATACTGTAGACTGGGTACCTTATAAACAACAGTCACTGGTCATTAGAGAAATGCAAATCAAAACCACAATGAGATACCATCTCACACCAGTTAGAATGGCAATCATTAAAAAGTCAGGAAACAACAGATGCTGGAGAGGATGTGGAGAAATAGCAATTCTTTTACACTGTTGGTGGGAGTGTAAATTAGTTCAACCATCATAGAAGACAGTGTGGTGATTCCTCAAGGATCTAGAACTAGAAATACCATTTGACCCAGCCATCCCTTTACTGGATATATACCCAAAAGATGATAAATCATTCTACTATAAAGACACATGCACATATAGGTTTATTTCGGCACTAGTCACGATAGCAAAGACTTGGAACCAACCCAAATGTCCATGAATAATAGACTGGATAAAGAAAATGTGGCACATATACACCATGGAATACTATACAGCCATAAAAAAGGATGAGTTCATGTCCTTTGCAGGGACATGGGTGAAGCTGGAAACCATCATTCTCAGCAAACTATCACAAGAACAGAGAAACCAACCCCCGGGTGTTCTCACTCATAAGTGGGAGTTGAACAATGAGAACACATAGACGTAGGGAGGGAAACATCACACACCAGGGTCTGTCAGGGGTGGGGGGTTAGGGATAACATTAGTAAAAATACCTAACGTAGGTGACGGGTTGATGGGTGCAGCAAACCACCATCGCACGTGTATACCTATGTAACAAAACTGCACATTCTGCACATGTACCCCAGAACTTAAAGTATAATAATAAAAATTTTTAAAAAAAAGAAAATGCACCAAGAACTAACGCTTTCCTCATACTCCGGTGGCTTTTATCCATGAAAGCCCAGCCTTTCTATTCTTTCTCTGAGCCTTGGAAGGATTTCTTTCTAAGGGAAAGACTTATCTTGCCATGTTCCTCTGAGATTCCCCGCTATTCCTCTGAGATCCCCTGCCATGCCTTCTTTTCCAAGAAGTGAAGTTTTTTCAAATGGTGCATATAACTCAAGTGAAGCCATGATGATATGAACAGTGGTGTTCAAGTTTGTGCATGTTCCTACATTACAACTGCCGCCAAGCCAACAGCAATTGTAAATCGACATCAATTCAAACACACTTTCAAATTTTAAAATCTTAAAATGTGAAAAAAGTGAACATACTAAAATAAATTAAATATAGAAATAATTAACATTTGGAAAACTTATTAAGTGCCAGTCATGTTTCCAAATCCATGATATTTATTAACCAATTGAATTGTAACAATATGCAAACCTGTGTAGTAGACTGTATCACAAATGAAGAACAAGGAGTGCTCCAATAACAGGGCATTTATGCCCAGGCCATCACTACAGTTTGCTGCTTCAGCAAGCACCACCATTGTCAAACACAGGATGAGACTATTGAGGAAAGAATAAGACCTTAGAATAGTCCAAGAAAAGAAAAAAAAAGTTTTTCAAAACAGTTTCCCATAGGGTTGCCATATAAGGTACAGAGCACCCAGTTAAACAAGTATATGCCATACATAGCATGGGATATACTTATATTAAAACATATTATTCATTTCTTTTCTGAAATTCAAATTTAACTGGGTATCTGGTATTTTTACTTCCTAAGTCTGGAAAACCTCCTCCTATGCCAGACCAAAGTGCTTCTTCATACAACTTTACAAAATCTCACTTCCTTTCCAGAGGAGAGGGAGAAGCTCATGGGTTTTCGGCATACATCATACACGGTCTATTTTTACAAGAGTACACACAGCAGTTTTCGTGTGCCAGATATCTTATGTATGTTATTCCTGGTCCTCAGAACAGCCAGACAAGGACAGTACTTCTAGCCACATTTTATAGATGAATGAATTGAAAGAAGTTAAATAATATATTCAAGGTTACACAGAAAACGTGTTAAAACTAATACAGGAACCCTTTTTTATCTGACTGCAGAGGCCCAGCTCTTTGTAGTGAAAGCCATGACTTTGTGCTATATTTTCCATCTTGACTATTCAGAACCATTTATTCCAAGGGGACAAAATTATTGCTTCTGTTTCAGTTCCTGTGAAACAGTGGGGATTATTGCCAAAAGCGGGGAGGGACAGTGTGTGCTCCTGTACTTCCTGTAATCACTATTCCACGGAGACTAGGACTGAGTCACCAACCCGATGTGGATCCACCCCCTACTGGTACATCAACGAAGAGCAAAAAAAGAAATCCATGCTAATTTCACGTGCTAATGGAAAGCCTCATGTACAAATCAATAAGTATGTGTTCTCCACATCCAAGGGGGTAGATCTGTTAAGCCAAAATGTTCACTCTCGGATGACAGAAAATGAAAATAAAGATTTTTCTTCCCATGTTGTTGACTTACAGCCAGATGCAGTCAACATTAACTCAAGTATGGCTCAGGCTATATAATTATCATCTTCAAGATTTCTTGTTTTTTATGTCAGCAAAAGACAGACCACAGACAATCCAGTATGCCTTTAGCAGTTTTTGTAATTCTTTATCACTCAATAATTTAATGTCCTCTTTGGTAACATAATTTGCAATTTGTAAATGAAGAGAATCAGATTCCAAAAACTCACTATATCTAGTAATTCATTTTTGTCTTCTAATTCTAAACACATGCCTGCATTTGGGGAAAAAGAAATGTGAGTATATTTTTTAAAGTTTCTTTTTGTTAAATGGATGGGGCTGAGGGAACTAAGAGAAAAATATGAGTCTTGTAAAAGATCTAGCTGTAAAGCTATAGACTGAGAAAGATTTCGCTGAAAAGCTATAGGCTGAAATTTATGTACCAATATAGGAGTACTCGTTGACACCCATCATTTGAATTGTTTGTTAATTTTGAGAAAAGAGACTCTGCAATGTGAGATTAATTCGAGATAATGTAGTTCCAGTGTCAACAGAGCTTGTATCTTTTTTAAAAAAATAATTTTTATTTCTCCCAGGTTGCTAGTAAGAAGGAAGGGAAAAGTCTCTTGAAGTTTTTTTGGAGTATCCCTATTTTTTTTGTTGCATGCTGTTATTTCCTTTGTTTTAGTTTTTGGCATTTTTTAAGTGTCCGGGTTTTTTGTAGCAATTGTGAAGTGGAAAGTTAGGTCTGTTTTGAGGTTTACTGGGGGGTATTTTGGAGGTCTAGACTAAGTGGATAGTTGTTTTAATTGTAGATTTATAATTTTATTAGTCTTTTTTGTTTGATCTCTCTATCTCTCTCTCTCTCTTTCAGTTAAAAGTAATTGATCAGCAAGGTTAACCAAATTATGAGTCTGAGAAATTGCCCAACTCAGACATTGTTTTTTTATTATTGTCAATTTTTTTATCTACTCTATTTATAAAATTGAAACTGAGAATATCATTTTGATGATTAGCATAACTTTCTTTAGATAATCTTTGTTGTTTGCCAGTATTGTATTTCAATTTTTTTCTTTTACATTTTTGCACATAGAACTTTACAACCAGAAATTATGATTTATTAACAGGTTAAGTAATATTTTTGCTTTAATGTTTCTATGTGGTTTTCATTTTGAAATCTCATTGTTGATACATTTGGATTATATAAAATGGAAAATATCTTCAAATTATATACATGTATATATATATATACACACACATATATATATATTAATTTCCACAGGTTATTGTGGTACAGGTGGTGTTTGGTCACATAAGTAAGTTCTGTAGTGGTGATTTGTGAAATTCTGGCGCACCCATCACCTGAGCAGTATACAATGCACCCTATTTGTAGACTTTTATCCCTCGCCTCTGTCCCATCCTTCCCCTCAATTTCCCAAAATCCATTGTATCATTCTTGTGCCTTTGCATCCTCATAGCTTAGCTCCCACATATCAGTGAGAACATACGATGTTTGGTTTTCCATTCCTGAGTTACTTCACTTAGAATAATAGTCTCCAATTTCAACCCAGTCACTGTGAATACCATTAACTCATTCATTTTTATGGCTGAGTAGTATTCCAGTGTGTGTGTGTGTGTGTGTGTGTGTGTGTGTGTGTGTGTGTTTCTTTATCCACTCTTTGACTGATGGGCATTTGGGTTGGTTCCACAATTTTGCAATTGTGAATTGTGCCACTATAAACATGCATGTGCAAGTATCCTTTTCATATAATGACTCTTTTCCTCTGGGTAGATACCCTGTAGTGGGATTGCTGGATCAAATGGTAGTTCTACCTCTTTTAGTTCTTTAAGGAATCTCCACACTGTTTTCCATAGTGGTTGTACTAGTTTACATTCCCACCAGCTGTGTAAAAGTGTCCCCTGATCACAGCATCTATGCCAACATCTACTGTTTTTTGATTTTTTGATTATGGCCATTCTTGCAGGAGTAAGGTGATATTGCATTGTGGTTTTGATTTGTATTTCCCTGATTATTAGTGATGTTAAGCATTTTTTCATATGTTTGCTGGCCATTTGTATATCTTCTTTTGAAAATTGTCTATTCATGTTCTTAGCCAACTTTTGATGGGATTGTTTCTTTCTTGCTAAAGTTTGAGTTTGTTATAGATTCTGGATATTAGTCCTTTGTCAGATGTATACATCGTGAAGATTTTCTCCCACTCTGAGGGTTGTGTGTTTACTCTCCTGACTGTTCCTTTTGCCGTGCAAAAGGTCTTTAATTTAATTAAGTCCCATCTATTTATCTTTGGTTTTATTGCATTTGCTTTTGGGTTCTTGGTCATGAAATCCTTGCCTAAGCCAATGTCTGGAAGGGTTTTTCCAATGTTATCTTCTAGAATTTTTAATGTTTCAGGTCTTAGATTTAAGTCCTTAATCCAACTTGAGTTGATTTTTGTATAAGGTGAGAGATGAGGATCCAGTTTTATTCTCCTACATGTGGTTAGTCAATTATCCCAGCACCGTTTGTTGAAAAGTGTGTCCTTTCCCCACTTTTATATTTTTGTTTGCTTTGTGGAAGATTAGTTGGCTGTAAGTATTTGGGTTTATTTCTGGGTTCTCTATTCTGTTCCAATGGCCTATCAAAATACCACCATCATTCTTCACAGAATTAGAAAAAACAACTCTAAAATTCATATGGAACCAAAAAAGAGCCCACATAGCCAAAGCAAGACTAAGCAAAAAGAACAAATCTGGAGGCATCACACTACCTGATTTCAAACTATACTATAAACCCATAGCCAGCAAAACACTATGGTACTGGTATAAAAAATTAGATAATCTTCAATATTGTTTAAAGATGTTTTTAAATGTCTCAACCTATGTCAGTATTGATTTATCTGGATTTTGCCAACATTGCTATATTTTCTTCTCGTCTACCACTTTTTGGAAGACTAAATGGATGGCTTGGAGCAAAGTCTTTGTAACCTCACAGGCACATGTGTGATCTTCTTTTGTAATTAAGTAGCTAAGACACATTTTTAAAAACCCCTTCTTTTGTGTCTAGCTACTTAATTTTTACTTTAAAAAAATTAACATGTGAACTAGTTGATATAGATCAGAAAAAACAGGGTGGTAACTTTGATATTAAGCTTAAGCTTTCTGGCAAAACCAATAGGGTCCTTGTAACTTTGATATTAAGCTTAAGCTTTCTGGCAAAACCAATAGGATCCTCGTGGAAATTAGATTTTTTTTTTTTTTTTTTTTTGAAACAGGGTCTTGCTCTGTCACCCAGGCTGGAGTGCAGGGGCATGATTACAGCTCATGACAGCCTCAACACCCTGGGCTCAAGCGATCCTCCCACATCAGCTTCCCGAGTAGCTGTGACCACAGGCACATGCCATCATTTTTGGCTATTTGCTTGTTTGTTTGTTTGCATTTTTTTGTAGAGACGGGGTTTCACCATGTTGGCCAGACTGGTCTCAATCCCCTGGGCTCAAGTGATCCTCCTGCCTCAGCCTCCCAAAATGCTGGGATTATAGGTGTGAGCCACTGTGCCTAGCCAGGAAATCTCTTATGTCTTTAAGGTTTACTTTTGATGATGGCTGATAAACTAAGGTGGGCTTTCCTCTGCCAGATATTCGCTGTTTCTGAGATTAAGCTAGAAGAGCAAGAGTGGGAGGAGGGGATCAAAGGAGGCAAAGGTGAGTGCAGGTGAGACGGTTCAGACGGGGAAGAGAAGAAATGAAGCAGGAGAGAATCAGCTTCAGCTGCTTATTTATTCATTTATTTTAGGGAGCTTTTTTCTTCATTTATGGAAAGAATTTTGTCAGAGCCTCTTGTAGATGCTTCTAAGTACTATAGGAAGGAAGTCTCCCAATTATTTTGTTTCATTTTAGAGCCAGTACTTTTCATTGTAAAGTAAATCAATTAATTCTGATATTTTAAAGGTGTATCATTTTGGCTGTTGTGTGGCTTTTTTATGGGTTAAGTAACACCATTTTATTTTTTAGATATTGACAGGAGGTGGTGCCATAAGTATTGGACATAAATCTAGCTGCAGTTTCTAAGGACGAATCTCCGTTAAGGAGGAAGACTTGGTTTCAGATGGACAGCTACCTATAATTTGGGTTCTCTTTTTAAGAAATTAAAGATTGAAAGGGAAAGATGTTTTGGATCTGGTGTGCTGCTTAATGAGAATTGTATTTTGAGGTGTCACTCACGAGTCACTTTTCCCCTCTTACATGTCTTGGTAAAACCCAGGAATCCTGGGATCTGAAGGCACTGGGAGGTCAGCCCCTCATATGTGGCCACCAGGCTAAGCTAGAATTTTTGAGTGTTTCTGGGGGGATAATTTCCTATGAGATTGTTTTATGTCGTGAGCAATGAGGTCAAACACTCCCACAAGACCTTCGTGGCCTAAGGTGATTTTTGGCCGGGAGAAATAGTGCTCCTCACGCTGGGGACTTACATTGGTCCTCACAGGAAAAATTGTATTGGCTTTGGTCACTTCAAAAAGGGACTTCAGATACGTCAAATAAACTGAGCTTCAGAGTTTTGTTTTTTTAATTATAAATTAATATTTTTAATTGTAAATTTTGCCTAAGCCATAAAATATTCACTCTTTTTGAGAGAGAGAAATTTTTTTCCTGACTAAAATTTGAATAAGGGAAAAGGCAGCGTGAATTTTAATAAGTAGCTTAACAAACAACCCTTAACCTCAGAGAAAAGTGAAGATCACTAATTTGTGAACAGCACAACTTCTAGAGAACAAAAACAGAATTTCTACCTTAAAGCAGGGCTTCACTGTCAGCTGCATCAAGCGTGGAATCGGGTCACCGGAATAAAGTCTAAATCTCACCCTAAACCAGACAGATTTACAATCTGAGAGGAGCCTTCCCAGAGACCCTTGCCAGCCCTGGCGAGCTTGGGTAAATGAAAGCTGTGTGTGCTGGTACCCAGGCCCTGCTTGTCAGTGAAACAGCGAGGATCACTGCAGGCTAGCTTAAGGTCCCATCTGGGTCGCCAAAATGTCAACCTACTAAAGAATCAGAGCCTAGTTTAAAGAGAGTTTATTTCAATGTAAAGTTTGAGCAAAGCCATCCAGGAAACACATCTTCTAAAGGATCAAAGTCAGTGTTCCAAAGTATAGAAGTTTAGGTTCATTTATATAGACAAAGTTGAAGGAAGTTTAACAGAATTTTAACATCTCATTATATAAGGCTTAATGCATCATTACAATGATCTGAATAGCTGAGGTGGTCTTTTTTGAGGGGCAAGTATATTTAACATTTCACACTGAAGATATAACAGTCATGGGGTTTTTGGCATCACCTGGTCTGAGGTACAAGGCAATAGAAGAGGCAGTTAATCTATAACAGCAATCAGTGATTGGAAGGAGAGCAGGCCTGGTCTCTGGTCTCTCCTTGTCATTTATAAAACAAAAACAATGAGGGACAGAGTTAATCTATAATCTAAAAAATAGAAGTTATTAATTTATATAACTTTATATAAAGTCTATATATGCTATGTGCTATGTGGCTCATCCCCCAAGCCTTACCCTTCTCCCTTGGATAATGAAGTTAGAGGAGCCTAAAATTATATTTTATTTTATGCAAGTTTCAAAATTACCATGGAAAGTAAAAATGTGCTGGAAGAAAACCATAATTGCATTGTTAATTTTCATGTTTGGAATTGGTCTTTACTCTTGTTATCCAGGCCCACACCTCCCTACTTTGAGTGGAATATCTGGGTCTGTTTAAGAGAGATAACTGTACCCAGAAAGGGGGCCTGCTTTGTACAGTAACAAACAGAGCTTGGTGGAGCAGGTCACAGAGATCAAGGAAACTATGAGGGCAACACAACCCCAAAGCACGTGGTCAAAGAGTTGTTGGGGAAAACACCATAGATTATATTCAAAGTAGACTCACAGGAGTAGCTGATATCAAACTCAATGTTCTATTCTCACTTCTCCATTGTCTTAGTATTACTTCACTGCACTTTGAGCAAATAGAAATATAACCTTTAACTATCACATTCATTTTTACTACTAAGTGTCAACTTGATTGAAGAATACAGGTATTGATCCTGGGTGTGTCTGTGAGGGTGTTGCCAAAGAAGATTAACATTTGAGTCAGTGGGCTGGAAAAGGCAAACCCACTTTTAATCTGGGTTAGCACCATCTAATCAGCTGCCAGGACAGCTAGAATGTAAGCAGGCAGCAAAATGTGAAAAGAGAGACTGGTCTAGCCTCCCAGCCTACATCTTTCACCCGTGCTGGATGCTTCCTGCCCTTGAACATCAAACTCCAAGTTCTTCAGTTTTGGAACTCATACTGGCTCTCCTTGCTCCTCAGCCTGGAGATGGCCTATTGTGGGACCTTGTGATCGTGTGAGTTAATACTTAATAAACTCCATTTATATGTATATCCATTCCATTAGCTCTGTCCCTCTAGAGAACCCTAACTAATACATTCATTGATTCAATAATTATCTTGAGTGCTTACTCTGTGCCAGGCACTGTTTTAGGTACAGGGGATTCAGCAATTAAAAAAAAAACAGAAATGCTGCCTTCTTGTAGCTCACAATGCAGACCACTAAGATAAAACAGTACGTTGACCTCAGAGAAAAGATGATATCATGATACCTGGTTTGAAATAGAAGAGCAGGACCTTCATAACCAACTTGTCAGTGTGGGGCATTAGGTGTGTTCTACATATGCCAATTTGGAGATCAGAAAATTGTTATATGCAAGATGTATTTGATGACAATCAACATAGATCATAATGAATGAGATCCCCCAAGAAGAATATTTAGTGGGAAAAAGAGCACAGCAAAGTGCCCTGGTCATACTATTATTTAAGTATCATTCACACAAAGATGAACCAGCAGAAGAAAATGTAAAAATCAGGAACATGAAAAGATATCCAGAAAAGTCTGGTGTTGTCACCAAAGTATTCTAGTAAAGAAAAAAAGACATCTTTGAATGATGCCACTGCAAACTACCAGAGTGAAGAGGACAGAGATGCAAGGCATTGAGCTAAAAGTGAATAAGGTGGGAAGCAGGGGAGATGGGTATTGTTGTCTTGTCTTTCAAGAAGCTTGGCTGTGCCATGGGAAAAAGAAAGCAGTGAAGGGGAATTAAGTATGCATGTGTGTTTCTAAGGTGAGAGTAAGTCAGGAAAAGGGGCAAGCTGAAAATACAAGAGAGAAAGGAAACAAAACAGGATTCCAGAGAAAATCAGAGGGTACAAATGGGGTGGTGGAGAAGGAGCTTTGAGCCCAGGAAGAACCGCCCCCCACCCTCCCTCTGCACGAGAAGGGAAAAACCCAGGTCTCGGGGAGTCTGCTGTGCAGAGCAGAAGCCGAGTGCCACAGTGCAGGATCTGAGAGCAGCAATGAGGCACAGACGCCGTTCAAATAATGCTGGGAATCAAACAGCAGAGAGAGCCCAGCTGAGCAGTAGCGGAGGGTCTGATAGGGAAATAGCCGGCCACAGGCTGGTTGGGTGGCTTTAGACTGTTAACTCCGTAAGTCTTTTCCACATCTTTACTATGACATCCAACAGCCACGTGGAGAATTTGCACACATTCCTTCCCCCTGAATAATGAACATCAGCCACTATCCAGAGGAGAAATCATGGGTCTATAGAAATTACTACAAGAAATCATTTCTGGCAACATGGCTCAGGGGCTTAGAATTATCATCACCATCGTTATCTAATCAGCTAATATTTTCTGCCTCCTTACAAAGTTGCAGGAGCTATGCCAAGTGCTCTTCGTATGTTAATTCATTTAATCCTCACCACAGCCTTGAGATGGGAAGCTTCATCTTTCCTGCAACTGAACCAAGCGATGGCTCACGCCCAACCCAAGGTCGAGTGGCCAACAGCTGGACCAGGCAGTGCCCAGAACGGAGCAAGTGCCCTCAGCCAGCAGGCTCTCACCTGGACTAGGTGCCCTGAGAATATGCAGTCTCACAACACTCACTTCCTTCTCTTTGGTCACTTTTGAGGCTGTTAATATTTCAAAAAAAAAAAAAAGTTTCTTTGGTTAACTTAAAGAAAAAAACTTAAAGACAGTGATTGATTCATTTTTGAAGGTACCATTTTTTCAATCATAATATTTACTTTGAATTCTCTTTTTCATTTAGAGCAGTACTGTAACAATTAATGCAAGTGGATAAATTCAGAGAAAATAGGAAATTTTATCATATCAGAAATTACTACTTGGAAAGAAAAATAATTAGAATTATACATTTTAAGTTTAAAAAATAAAAAAATTAATAATCAGTAAGCATAGGAATTAAACACTATATTTCAACCGCGTTAAAAAGTGATTTCCTCAGAAAAACTACTTTAAAAAGAATGGTGTATTATGAGAACTGGAACTTATTTATTTCCTCAACAAATATAGAATTTACATATACATAACTCATATATATATATATATATTTAGAGACAGGGTCTCACTCTGTGGCCCAGGCTGCAGTGCAGTGGCATAAACACAGCTCCCTGCAGCCTCGACCTCCTGGGCTCCCACGATCCTCCTGCCTCAGCCTCCTGAAGTGTTGCAATTACAGAGGCATGCCACCACACCCAGCCAACGAATCGATTCTAACATTATACTTTAAGATATAGAGGATAAAATAATTTACATAATAAAAATCAACATATTTAATTGTTTTGGTTTCAAGCAATGAGCTTGGGCCTTCTAAAAGACAGTTCCCTTAGTCAAGCCTTACAAGGAAACAGAACCAGATGTCTGACCCTAAATAACTCCAAAACCAATGACTCAGGGGACAACCTATGAGGTGGGCAATGTCCCCTACTTCCATGTATCTTCTCCATGGATCCTGACACAAATGTAAAGACAACAGGAGAGAAAGAAGGGCTTCCTGGAAAATAAAAAGCTGAGAGGAACTTTAGAGTTAAATTGTACCTTAAGGAATCTTTGAGCCCACCCCCCAAGCCTCACATGGGCTAATTCTTAATATCCCTGTTTTGGAAACTGGGTTCAAAACCATTAATTAACATATCTAAAAACAAGAAACTAAGAAGTGGTGCAGTAAGGCCACTAAAATAGGTCTCTAGTCTTTCAGAGTTCATTTCAGTACGGAACAATGTATGTCCCCACGTGTAGGTGTAGGTAACATCCTCAATCCTGTTTCTTCCTAAGTTTCTATAGAGAACCTGGCTTAACTGCAACTGGGGAATGCATGATTGTTTCAAGGCTGGTGCATGGAAAGCCATCAGGATGAGATATTGCATCTCTAAGTGTCCCTGAGAGAGCCATTCCGACGCTGAAGCTGAGTATAGTTTCTACTTGTAATGATGAGCTCCAGCAAAATGACAGTTACCTCTCATGCACTAATGAACTAATAAAATAAATTTCATAAAATGCCATGGGTGCTTTTGCTAAAAATGCATACCTTATTTGATTGGTTGTTTTTCAACAGTACTTTGAAGGATCTTGGTGAAATAGATAAACATGGGTCTTCTGAACTGAAGTTACTGTTTCATTTAATAAATAAAACAACTTGAAATATGAGAATCATGGCAATTATTATTTCACCCTCCAGGTGGTGTCTTTGCCTGTTAATATTTAAAATATTAAACCTGTTAAATTTATGTAGGTCCCATTACTGCCCAAGCACCACTGGCATTTTCATAGCTTTGACATTTTCAAAATTTCTAGGGAGTAATATGAAAACCATGACAACACATAGCAATGTTTTCCTGACTTGATTTGTGAGGCAGAAGCAATGAAAATCAAACTGACCATTTTAAGAATTTTTCTGTTTTGGCTTGGTATTCATTTATTTATTGTTTCATTCATTAACTCAACACATGATGATTGGCAGTCCTTCCTGTGCCTGTACTGTTCTCAGTGATGGGAGGGCATCATGAACAAAACAGACAGAGCCCCCTGCCTTCGTGGATCTTAATTCTAGCACACATAAATGTGATTGACAGGTCACTACAAAAGGCCTCTTAGACAGTCTTACAAAATTCAAGTTTTGTAAATTTTGTGTTAAAGAATTCAGGTAAGTTCATTTAGTAGTTCACATGAAAATAAAGTTCAAAGTTCAAGGTAATTGTCCCATCACTTGCTGGTTCCCCATGGCCGCCATTTGCTGACTTTGAGTTCACCTGTTTACTTTCCTCCAACTCTTCTGTGCAGTTCTTTTTGCCAAACCCTTCCAAATCTGTGCTTATATGCTCAGGTGTTTTAATTGCCCCTGTAAATTACCACCAAGCCCCATCTGCGTCTAACCCACTCTGCTTTTCCATCACAAGAAGAAACACCATTTCTCCAAACAGCTTCCTTCCAGGCTACCTCAGGACCTTGATTCTTCAATTACAGCTACACGTTTTATTATTCATCTCACCATATTTGTGACATTTAATATTCTGCAATGGTTATAAATCATACTAATACTGTATATTAGTCTCAAGAATTAACATATTTTCCTTACTGTTAAGAACTCTGCCTGACACAGTCAGTAGTCATGCCCTGTTGGTTGTATCATTACAACACTCATCTCTCTATTAAGTATCCACATTTGCCCATACCATTGTCACTCACTTAGCTCAACTTAGGACTTCAGGACTTCTCATCTGAATTTTTTAAAGATTTTCCAATAGAGCATTCAGTCTGAGAATGCAAAATACCCTCATTTATGAAAATACTAATAAGATAGAAATTTTGGGACTGGAAAGAAACTATTTTATATAACTCACTTATCTGATGCATGGACTTTGTTTGCTTGCTTGTTTTTTAATTTCCACCAGGTAGTTTTCAGTTTTCCATTTGTAACAGAACTCTTCTGGTGAGAGAATTCACAAAATCTAAAAGTGGATATATTTTCCAACCATTCAAATTATAAGGCATTAATAATCAAATGCAGCAGTGTATTAAAAAATACACCATGGCCAAGTGGATTTTTCCCAGGTGTGCAAAGATGGTTCAACATTCCACAATCAATCAATGTGATCCACCGTATCAGTTGGATAAAGAAGATATCAATAGAAGCAGAAAAGCATTTCACAAAAGTAACACTCATGATAAAAACTCTCCAAAAATTAGAAATAGAGAACAAGTGTCAAATTAATAAAGAGCACCTACAAAAATCCTGCAACTAATATCATACTTAGGTGATACTAAGGTGAAAGACTTAAAATTTTTTCTTAAGATCAGGGAGATAAAAAGATGTCTGATCTCAGCACTCATTCAACATACTACTAGAAATTCTAACTAGCACAAGAAGGCAAGATGAAGAAATAGAGGCATATAATGGCTCAATACAGGAAAGATGTCAGTTCTCTCCAAATTGATCTATAGGTTTAATTCCATTCCTAGAAAAATCCCAAGAAGGTATTTGTAGACATAAACAGGCTTATTTTTAAATTTCTTTGGAAAGGCACAGGGCCTAGAGTAGCTAAAACAATTGTGAAAAAGAACAGAGTGGGAGTGAGCATTCTTGCTTGATGTGAAGACCTATCACTAGAGCTACAGTAACCAAGACAGTGTGGTATAGACAGAGGAACAGACACAGAGATCAACAGAAAAGAATTCAAAAACCCAGCAACCAACCCACACAAATACATCTATCTGACTTTTGGCAAAGGAGCAAAAGCAATTCAGTAGAAGAATAGCCTGTAACAAATGATAATGGAGCAATTGGACAATAATAAGCAGAAGAAGGAAGAGGAGGAGGGAGAGGAAGAGGAGAAGGCAAAAATGGAGGAAGAAAAAAGAATTTTGATCTAAACCTCACATCTTATACAAAATAAAACCTCAAAATTAATCATTGACTTAAATGTAAAATATAAAACTATACAATTTTTAGGGAAAAATATAGGACATAACCTGTGGAAACTAGGACTAGGCAAAGAGTTCTTAGTCTTCACACCAAAAGCACGATTCATAAAAAGAAATATTGATAAACTGGACCTCATCAAAATTAAACAGTTTGATCTGTGAAATACGCATTAAGAGGATAAAGAGACAACCTACTAATTAAGAGAAAATATTTGCAAACCACAGACCCAATATAGGCTAACATATAGAATAATAAATAACTCAAAATTACACATTAATAAAGCAAATATCCAATTCAAAAATGAGCAAAATGCAAGATAAATTTCACTGAAGTGGTTATGCAGATGATAAATCAATGCATGCAAAGATGTTCAACGACATTAGCAGCAGGAAAACACAAAATAAAACCACGGTGAGATATCACTGTGGCTAACGTAAAAAAAATAGTCATAAAACCAAATGCTGTTGAGAAGGTGGAGAAACTGGGTCACTCATACATTGCTGGTGGGAATTTAACATGGAACAGCCACTCAGGAAAACAGCATGGCGGCTTCTTACTCTTGGCAGTTGACCCAGAGAAATGGAAGCATGTTCACACGAAGCCTATATGAACATAGAAGTTTTACTCACAAGAGCCCATACTGAAAACATCCTAACTGTCCTTCCACGGATGAATAAACTGCAGTGCATTCACAGCAAAAAATACTACTCAGCAATAAAAAGGAGCAAAGTATTGGTACACATAACAACTCGAGCGGACGTCACAGGAATTATGCTAACTACGCCAGTCTCAAAGAATTCCCTATTGTCTGAATCCATTTATATAGCATTCTTAAAATGCTGCATTTGTGGAGATGGGAAACAAATGAGTAGTTGCCAATTATTAGGGAGTGGAGAGGAAGAGAGGCAGCTGTGGCTATAAAAGAGGTGTGCAGGGGGCTCTTGTGTTGGGTTTGTCCTTGTGCGTTTTTTTCTTGTCTTGGTGGTCACGCAAATCTACACGTGATAAAACTGCAAAGAACTACAGGTGCACACGCATGCACACACACACACGTACACACACACAATATTTTCAGGTTTACAAAGAAGCTGCAAAAGAGAATTCCCACGTTAACATGTGACGACCCTTCCTTTACTGTCTATACATGCAGTTTGTGTGTGTGCATGTTTGTAGTTTCAGAAAATTATAAGCACAAGTTGCAGACACATTTGACGCTTTACCTATTAAAATTTCAGTGTGTATTTCTAAAAATAGACCATTTCATAACCACAATCTGATTGTGAAAATGAAGAGGTGAATGTGGACAGCATCCTATTTTCTCCCCCACAGACTTGATCCGGGTTTGCCAGTTACCTTCGTGCTCCTGATCTGGTGCAGAAGCCAAACCCGACCATCCTCACATTTACTTGGGCATCTTCTTAGTCCCCTGTAATCAGGGACAATTCCTCCATCTTTCTTTGTGTTTCACAATCTTGACACTAAAGAGTGGAGAACAGTTGTTTTGAAGAATAACTTCCATTTGGGTTCACTGGATGCTTCCTCCTGATCAGATCTAGGTTATGAAATATTGGAGGAGATGCACAGAGGCAATGTGATGTGTTCTTGTCAGTATGTTCCTTGTGTCTGAGAGCACAGGAGGTCAGCTCGTCCCATCACTGTGATATTAACTTGATCACGTGATTACTACAGTAAGATGGAACCTGCTATAAAGTTCCTATTTTTCCTTTAGCAACTAATAAATATTTAGGTATTCTGTAACTAACAAATATATAGATATCTTATTTTTCTGACTATTTCTGCATAATTTTAATGACCATTGGTGATTCTTCTCCAACTAAAGTCGTTACCAAATGGTGAGATTGTAATTCCATCTTCCCTTTATCTTTATTAGCTAGATTCCTACCATATGGAAGAGGTTTCCCTTCTCTTCCATTTATTCGTTATCTATTTGTACATACCTAGTATGCATTTGTAGATTCTTATTCTATTCAGGGGTACATAGCCCATTGCCATCAATCATTTTGTCACTCAAATTGTCCCAGACTTGGCCAGTGGGACCCCTGCATCTCAAGAGCCCTTGCTAACCATCTGGTAATGGGGCAGCTGGAGCCTTTCTTACCCCAGCACAAGCATCAGCCACATCTCTAATGAACCCAGGTTACCTTTACTGAAGAACAATATTTACAGCCAGAACTGAGTGCTAGGCATGCTTGTTGCTGCTTGAAATGTATGTATATACAGGGCAAAGATAGGAAATGTATATGCATAAATGCAGATATAGATACACACACTTCTATATCTATATCTATGTCCATTTCCATTTATCATCTATATCTATCTATTTTTTAAATTCTATACATGTGTGTTAAAAATCATGAGTTCACACTGATCTCTCTGATCCCAATCCAACACCAGAAGGTTTCTTCTAGGCTTGCCCCACTCACATTATTCCCGGTACCACAATCTATTTATTTATTTTCTTATGAAAAGCTGCAGAGAGTAGTTGCATCATTTCTAAACCACACCTCCGTATTTACAGAGCCAAAGCACGGTGCTCACAAACAGTGCATCCCAGAGCCACTTAGACTCACTCTCCTCTCCTCACCCTTCAGTGTGCTGAGGCCACTCATTTGAAAAACGTTAAGTTCACTCATTTTATTCTGTTTTTCTTTCTTTTTGTAGTTATCTTTTCCATACTTGTGGATTTTATGTATTTATTCACTTTTAGACTGTGAAACATTAAGTTTGTTCTAAAAGTCAACTGTAGAAAGGTAAACTAGGCAAGGGACCACTACCCCGTCCCTCCACGCATCCCCAAGGCATCCGACCTCATTGTTCCTGGTGTAGGATACCTGAGCTCATGGAGGGGAGAGCTCAATGAGGCAACCAAAACTCACAGAGCCTGGCTTGCAGTCACCACCCCTGAACACAGCTGCACGAATGTCCCACAAGAAACCAGCAGAATATCTGCTCAGAATCATAAGCAATAACGAATATTTCTTGTCTAAAAAGGGAGCTTTGTTTAACTTACATTAAGATACGTTTCTGCATGAACCCCTTCTATTTTGCAACTGAATAAATTTCTTCCCAATTCCTTGCTCATAGAACATTTCTTTTTCTACTATTGCATTAGCATTTATTGCAGACTTCTTTAGTGGTCTAATTTATTTGTCAACACTTTAGAACTTCTCAGAAAATTTGGAAATGCCCTAACCATATTTGTATGAATCAGCACATTGTCAAACATTCTAATATCTCTCTAGTGAACTCCTGGAAAAGAACTATCCATCGATGCCACCACAACAGGAAGAATCCTTCTTCTATGAAAGTCTGGTTAGAATCTTCTGTAACTTAAGACACATCCACGATCTGTTGCCTACAAGATGGAACTCAAATTACTTTTCATGGCATACAAATCTTTTTGTAACACAATCCCTGTCTGTCTCCTCCAATCTCACACCCCTCATAGTTGACTTCTATGAATCTTAATTCCAGCCTCACGCTAGACTTACACTCACTGGGTTTATCATGCTGCTTCATGCCTACTGGTCTCTGTAGAAATTGGTTCATCTGCCCATGATGTCTCTCTCCCTCTTGTACAAACATGAAAGTCTTGCTCGTCTCTTAAGTTGCATCTAGAAAAATCACTGCACTGATGCTGTCCCTGGATGCTGTCAAGAGTTTCTCATGCTAAAATCTGTCTTGACTTCTCTTCAAACAAGCCTGTGCTGAGTTACAGCATCTACCAGACTACTCTCCTGCTCTAAGCCTCATGTTCTCTCTCTTTTGGTCAGCCTCTCCCTGTGTCTCTCTCTCTTTCTCTCTCTGTCTACCTCTCTTTCTCCCTCCTCTATCTGTCTAGAAGATTATTCCTTATTTAGATCAGACAAACAATCCTAATTAGTTTTGTATCTCCAGTTCCCAGTGCCCAGTACGACAGGTACCTGAAAAAATGAGTCAATCCATTAATGTTCAAGGGTGGAGACTAGTATGTATATTTTTAATTGGATTAAAGTGAAATGAAATGAACAGAAAGATGCTCTGCCAGGAAGTTAAACTTCATTCCTCTGCATCAATTATCAAAATTACCCTAGAGTTTTTCCTACAGTCTGTGTGGTAATTTGATATAAAATTTCAGCCCAAATATTTAAAAATTTATCAAAAATATACTTAGAACAACAAACTAGATTCCAGGGAAAGCTAAAAAAGCCTCAATCAAATATAGTTTTTAAAATTATTTTAGAAGTCATATTATCAAATCAGAATATCTTATTAAAAGAAATAAAGCTTTAGTATTTTTAATTATTTAGTAATATTTTTATTTCATAACCCCAATTTAAATAAAAATTTAAACATTAACTTCAAAAGCAAAATTATCTTTGTCTTTTAGAAAAAAAAATTGTAGCATTTTTAATTCCTTTTATGAGGTTAGCATAAGCCTAAAAGCAAAATCTAAGCATGACCCTGGAAACAGGATTGTGAGGCTCTGACATATAAAGGGCTTATAAGTTGTCACTCCCAACCTTACAATAAGAAAAGAAACAAACTGAAAAAAAATCAATGAATTTTCTTAGAGCCATCAGAGACTTAGATTACAGGACCACGTACCACCTTGACATCTTGGAGACAGTTGTGTCCAGAAAGTCGCCAGGATCTGCTCACCTAGAGCAGAAGACACTGGAGATATGAACTGGTAGGGACATGTCAATGGTCACTCTGATGAATTGCTGGGGCTGACTGTGCATCCCAATATCGGGGGCCTGCAGAACCAGACACCTACTGCTGTCACTTTCCACCCAGATATCCTAACAGTTCTCACAATAGAGATCCATGAATGATTCCTCATGGCTTCAGCAGAGAGAGAGGAAGAGTGATCACGTTGAAATTCACCCAGAACCCTCTTTATAGCAAAAGCCTACTCTACAGGAGGAAAAACTCTGTCAGAGCTTTATACCAGGTGGGAAGAACAGCCCTCCCACTCTGGAACCTCTAGTCTTCTTGTCTCACCTATATGCACACACACACACACAGACACACACACACAAACACATATGCGTATATGTATATAAAACAAAGCCAACACAGTATATAAAACAAAGCCAACACAGTGAGGGCCTTAAGGAAATAGACTGGGGAGCACTGCAGCCAAGAAAGTGAGTACGGAACAGGAGGAGGAAAGGCTGCACCACGGTGAACACTGTGAAAGTCTCAGCTTCAAGAAACAGGCCAAGAAAATGCTGAAATTTAATCCAGAGGATATGGGATGCTCCCTTCCCCCACACCTTATCTCCACACCAGCTGGGCTCGCCTTAACAGTGGATTCCAGTTGAAGGAGCTCCAAGGCGCTGTGTGAAGAACAGAAACTAGGGAAGCCCAAAGTCAAGAGAGGAGGCAAAGACAAGGACAATGGAGGATTTTAAAGTCTCCAGGAACTACAGCTGTAGCTCACGTTAGAAACAGCCCAGCTCTAGCCAGACGAGCATAAATCCTCTCACTAAAAGTGTATGTCCTTCAGTTCCTGTGATGTGATACAATGTCTGGCTTTCAAAAAAAATTACAAGATGTGCCAAAAGGCTAGAGATGAGTAATTATCAGGAACAGACACAGATATGATACACACATTGGAATTATCATACAATTATCTTTTCTGCTTTTTCCATTAGGGCTCTTAACATGTTAATGTTAATGGAAAAAGCAGAAAAGAGCTGGGAACAGATACTGTGAGCAGAGAGATTAAAACTCTCAGAATCAAGATAAAGCATGATCAGTCAAACATAGTGAGAGAAATGAAGAAAACCTTTGATAGGCTCACAAGTAGACTCAACACAGCAGAGTTATACATCAATGAGGCTGAGGGTGGTGGCTCACGTCTGTAATCCTAGCACTTTCGGAGGCCGAGGTGGGCAGATACCTGAGATCAGGAGTTTGGAACAAGACTGACCAACATGGTGAAACTCCATCTCTACTAAAAATACAAAAATTAGCTGGGTGTGGTGACACATGCCTGTAATCCCAGCTACTCGGGAGGCTGAGACAGGAGAATCGCTTGAACCTGGGAGGTAGAGGTTGCAGTGAGCCAAGATTGTGCCCCTGCACTCCAGCCTGGGTGACAGAGATGAGACTCTTGTCAAAAATAAATAAATAAATGAATAAATAAATCATTGAGACTGCACATAGGTCAACAGACACTTCGTAAACTGAAACATGTAGAAGAAAATAATGAAACATACAGAACAGAATGCCCAAGGACTCTAAAGTACAGCATACAACAAATTGGAATACTAGAAGGGTGAGAAAGAACCAAGCAAAGATATACTTGAATTAATAATAGCCAAAGTCTTTCCAAAATTAATAACACATACCAAACCATAGACTCACAGTGTTAGAGAATGTGGAGCAATACACATATTAAAAACAAAAAAGAATCCACACACAGACCTATCATATTCAAACCACAGTAAACTAAAGATGATAAGAAAACCTTGTTAAAACAGAGGAGGGGAAATCTTAACTACAGAGGAAGCAGGATAAGAATTTCTGTGGACTTCTCATCAACACTAAATTATTCAGGTGGAAAATAGAGTGAAATATTTAAACAGTTGAAAGTAAAAGAAATACCAACTTAAAATTCTATATGGAGTAAAGTTATCCTTTAAAATGAAGCACAAAAAAGACTTTCTCTGACCTCAAATACACAAAAACAGAAATCATCTCCAGTAGTCCTGCACACCAAAAAATGACAGTAGTTCTTTGGACAGGAAAATATTATTAGTCAGAAACTTGCATCTGCATGAAGAAGAACATTTAGGGAAGGAATGAATAGAAAATAAGACTCAACTATATGTTGTTTACAAGAATACACATTAAATATGAGAATCAGATAGGTATAAAGTAATCGTGACAGCTTGGTGTTGGTGGAAGAGTCTAATTGTATCAAATTTTATCAATTGTATGAAAATGTTTGAAACCTCACTGAAGGAGAAAGGGGAAAGGTGCTGACCTAAGGAACTTTGGGAATGAGCAGAGTCTGCAAGACTAAAATCAAAATGTGCTGCACATATGTACTGTGCCCTAGTTGACAGGCTGTTCCCCATCAGGGTACAGGGTAACAATTCTGAGTCTGCTATGCATGTACTGAAATTGAACAGTGACGTGAATGGATGGTGGCTGCTGGTGCCAAGTTTCTCACTGTTGGGGAGAAGGTCACAGAAAAGGAAGGCGACATGGCAGGAAGAACCCATGTAGTGATGGATTCGAGTTGAAGACATATTAGCAGAGAAAGAAGCCTAGAAGGAGTGAGCCTGGCTCTAGGCCTTCTCACAGGGAACCTGGCAGTGTTGATATGAGAGCATCTGAAGGTGGAATAAAAAACAAAAAGCAAGAAACATGGGTGGTTAAAACTACACTTTTTCTTCATCATAACCTGGTCCACAGCAAGCGCTACACAAGACCAATTATTTTTAAATTTAACTATTATCAACATAAATACTTTAACCTTACGTGAACCTCCTAAGGGATTGTAGACATTACACACCTGGCTATTTTTTGTATTTTTAGTAGAGACAGGGTTTCACCATATTGAATTCCTGACCTCAAGTGATCCGCCCACCTCGGCCTCCCAAAGTGCTGGGATTACAGGTGGTACTGTCCTTTTGATCAGACATCTAGAGAGTTTCCACTCCAGGCCTGGGAATCTTCTGGTCTCTGATGTGCCTGCACCAGCCTGATTCTTCATCATCCAGCAAGACCCCTGGGTTCTCTGCCAGGTGACACTAGGAAAGGATGTTCCTTGGATCGTCAAGAGACAAGTGCAGGACATTTTCAGTCTCTGTTTGAGATCACAGTTTGAATTTCATAGACAAAGTCTTTGTCATCACTGCATATGCTTTTATGGGACTCCTTAATGTTTCCAAAGTTTATGCCTCACCTCCCGAACACACTACAAGCTTATTGCAGAAAAGCTCCCACACCCTTCTGTTCTTGGCTATGCCTGCAATACGGGGCCTTAAATACAGGGCCAAAGATAGAATGTTAAACATGGTAGCTATTCAAGAATTTAACATCAACTTCTGCATTTTATAGATCAGCCAGCTGAGAAAAGCTGAGAATTTAAAAGATCTGAGATATGTGCCACCACAATGTCCATACAAAAAAAAAAAGGAAAATGTGATCATCTGAATATTTCTGTTATAAAGACTTCATATTCAGAGACATTTAGAACCTCCATTAAACTTAAAGTTCATTTTTCAGATGTCAGTCAGGAGATGAAGCCGGCTACAGCTGACAAACATGTTTTAGACAAGCACACTTTTCTATTCCTTATACATTGATTAAAGGGTTTACACATTTGCAATTATTTTGAATATACATCAAGACAAGTGGTTTCCTGGGGTGCTAGCAATCTGAAGGGAAAGCAACATTCTTCAGAGCAGGAATCTTTTCCGGGCCGTGTTCCCAGCTGCTGTTCTAGTTTATATATTCCTTGCATAATATCTGCAATGGCATGTCAGAAGCTTGTGTCTAAAAAAAACGTATACGTGTGAAAAGTAATAAAATATAGAAAGGAAACATCAAATTTCTGCTGTAACCATAGCAGAACTTACATGTAAAAGTAATAATATTCTGAAAATTCAGCCGTGCATTGATGTATACATACCAGAAGTAAACTTAATTACATAAAGTCAGATTAGAATAAAATATATATCAGTCATTTTATATTAGCATATCATTTGACTTAAGTGTACCAGCAATCTTGCCTACCCTGCTGGGCTGCTGTGCTGGTTAGCATTCTACTGGTAATATGTCTCTATGAGTTTAAGGCATTTCCAAAAAAGTTCCTCATTTGTCTACAGATGTGCATTCTTGAATCATTAGGCCCATTTCCACATTAGCAGACAAAGAAGCCCGGAAGGAGTGAGCTTGGCTCCAGGCCTCCTCACAGGGGACATTGCAGTGTTGATGTGAGAGCATCTGAACGTGGAATAAAAAAAGAAAACCAAGCAACATGTTAAACCCACACTGTGTCTTCATCATAACCCTGTCCACGGCAAGCTTTATGCAGAGATCAGTTAGTTTTAAATTTAACTATTATCAGTATAAATACTTTAACCTTACGTAAACCTCCTAAGGGATTGTAGACGTTACTATTTTCTATTTACTATAAAACTCAGATCAACCCTAGTTTGCTTAGATCCTAAAAACAGACTAAAAATCAAATTTAAATATTGTTCTTAAAGATGACAACATTATAAAGAATATAGGCATATATTATCTTGTAAATATAAGTAATAAGGCAGTTTATTCTCTCTCTCAATGAAGTTTGAGGTAGTTATGTACATATACATATATGTCACTATCTTTTATAAAACGGTGAGTTAGTATTGCTGTCTCATGGCTAAAATTCCAAGGTAAAAGCTATTGGATATTTGTGTGTCTGTGTGTGTGTGTGTGTGTGTGCGCGCATGTGTATTATGCTGTATGTTATGTCTGTTATGTCTAGCATACTACCAAATGGTTTATAAGTAATGAGTACTCATAAATTAAGTCCACATGCTCTTCAAGTTCACACAAATTTAGTACTCTTTGACAAATAAAAATTGTTTTGAAATTATTGATAAAATCAAGGCCAGGTGCAGTGGCTCATGCCTGTAATCTCAACACTTTGGGAGGCCGAGGTGGGCAGATCACCTGAGGACAGGAGTTCGAGACCAGCCTGACCAACATGGAGAAACCCTGTCTCTACTAAAAATACAAAATTAGCTGGGCGTGGTGGTGCATGCCTGTAATCCCAGCTACTTGAGAGGCAGGAGAATCACTTGAACCTGGGAGGCGGAGGTTGTGGTGAGCTGAGATCGTGCCATTGCACTCCACCCTGGGCAACAAGAGCGAAACTCCATCTCAAAAAAAAAAAAAAATCAAAAACATTTTGAATGTCTTCAAAATTGTTAACATTTTTGCCTGGGTCTACTAATTATTTTATATTTACCTCTGTTGGATATTTTAAGATGTCAGGGTTTGGCACGAAGTTTGTAATAATATAATCCTATTCAAACATAATCTTTATGTAATTTTTTTTGACACATAAGACTAATTTAGTGTTGTCGATTCAATAAAAACAGCTAAATCTTCTAGGTTAGTGGTAAAAACACCCATGTATTTAACTTTAAATTTCTCCCTTAGATGAACACGTGATATTCACTGGCTATAAAAATGGTTAATAAAAGAATTAACTTGAAATAATGACCAGCTTTGTCTAATATCTAAGTTTTCAAGAAGTCATATAAACTGTTAAAAAATGAAAGAACTAATTATATATAAATAGGATAAATGCTTGTAGGTAAACATTTTGTGTAATTTAATATCTTTAAATTATTTTGAATTAAATAATTAATAAAAGCTCATTAGATGTATGGGTTATTCCCAGTTAAGAAGGGATTATGATATGAAAAAACACGTTTCTAAAAATTGCAGAATTACTTCATCTATGAAATGCTAACATCTGAAAAGCAGTTCAGGATTTCTTGCTTCCTAGGTTTTCACTAAAATTTAAGTTTACTAAGAATAAGAATTCTAATGAAAATAAAATTCTGTACGTTGTATTCTTATTGGAAAAATAAATGATAATTTTATGTAATTTGGAGATTATTTAAAAGTTATTTATAAAACAAGGTATAAAAAGAGTAAGTAGGAGAGAGGGAGGTAAAAAGGTTAGATATATAAAGATGTATTTTTGGTAAGGAAGATTATAAAAAAAAATAATTTGGGGCTTGGCATGGTGGCTCATGCCTGTAATCCTAGCACTTTGGGAGGTCGAGGTGGGCGGATCACTTGAGGTCAGGAGTTCAAGACCAGCCTGGCCAATATAGTGAAACCCCTTCTCTACTAAAAATACAAAAATTAGCTGGGCATGGTGGCAAGTGCCTGTAATCCCAGCTATTCGGGAGGCTGAGGCAGGAGAATTGCTTGAACCCGGGAAGTGGAGGTTGCAGTCAGCCAAAATTATGCCATTGCTCTCCAGCCTGGGGAACAAGAGTGAAACTCAGTCTCAAAAAAGAAAAAATAATTTTGTATGAGAAAGCACCTTATATGATGAATTTTTATCCTAAAATGAAATGACTAACTGGTTATTTTAAAAAACATAGTGTAGGACAAATCAAAAGGTCCAAGCATTTCATCGACAGTTTGTTGAAGTCATGATAAAGTTAGTGAACAAAGAAATCTAATTTATTAAAATAAGGCTTAATATTTATTTTCAATTTTAATTGAGGAAAATAGGGGATCTTTACATTCTAATATCCTTATTTTACTTTAAGAAAATACATTTGAACTTTAATTAGACAAATTCAGTTAATATACACCAAAAACCTTTCTAACCAAAGATAAATAAATAAATAAACTTTTTAATTTGTTGGCATGAGGTACTGTGAAACCTACAGTAGCAATTTGAGTAGGCACTACCTAGAAATAGATAAAATCCTGAAAGGAGACATATTCGCCACCATCATCATTACCGTCATCATCATTACCATCATCATCACTATCATCATCATCATTATCATCATCACCACCATTACCATGATTCTTATCATCACCATCATCATCACCATCACCATCATCACCATTACCATGACTCTTATCATCACTGTCATCATCACTATTGCCATCATCACCATTATCATCATCATCACCAACATCATCACCACTATTGCCATCACAATTAGCAAAGAAAATATTTATACAGGGCTTACTTCACACTAGCCACCATTCCAAATACTGTCATATATTAATATAATGATCCTATGACCTACGTACCATTATTATCCCCATTTTGCAGATGAGAAAAGTGAAGCACAGAGAGAATAAATAACTTGTCCTGCTATTTGAAAAAAACTTTGATTCAAATCCAGGGCTTCTGGCTCTTGTCAGGGACCGAGTTCCTCTGTTATATCGCCCTCGGTTGTGAAAATAAGTCATCATTTCCAATACTATGGTGAGGTCATTCTGCACCTCAGCACATTAATTATAAAGGAAGAAAAATACACATTTTACTTACTAGGTAGACATTGTAATGTCTACATTTTGGTTGGTAATACCATGAATCAAATATATAATTGTGACATCTAGTATTTTATCCAGGAAACCATTAGATATCATGAAAATGACTCTATAGATTATCTTCACTTTGATATGTGTATTTATCAAAAAGAATTACGCACTGACTTCTTAAAGAAAATGTCTTTTCTAATAAAATATTTCTTTAATTTGAGGAAAGACAACCTCCTTCACAGCATATTTTTTCATGTAAAAATGTGAGGTTTAGTAATTTAAAATTGCATTCTTGCAATGCATTGATAAAAAATTGTTTTATTTTGTTTCATTTTAAAAATGTATTCCTAAGTGCTATTTGAATTAGTATCCCATAGAGAAGGTATATTTTAAATTATATAAACGAAACACTTCCAAAAAAGAAATTCTTAGTAAAATGCTTCCACAAAATATTTTTTCAATCAGATAGTAGTTATTTAAATATATTTTATAAATTCATGACCACACTGTATCTAAATAATTATCATATCAAATGTCAGAAGCGGGGGTAACTATCTGGAAAAGACTGATACATTTTTGTCAAGATCATTAACCAACAAATTAATGCATGCTCTTTATTCCACAATATGCCTACAAAAGTTTCACAAAAACAATACTATTACTAACACCAACAATATGAAGTGACTTATATAGGAAAGAAAATCATCGTGTTGACATTAGACTTTCAAAAGTGATGCTTTATGTCAAAGACAGTGGAGTTACATATTTAAGATACTCAAGGCCAGGCAAGGTGGCTCACGCCTGTAATCCCAGCACTTTGGGAGGCCAAGGTGGGTGGATCACATGAGTTCAGGAGTTTGAGACCAGCCTGCCCAACATGGTTAAACCCCGTCTCTACTAAAAATACAAAATTTAGCTGGGCGTGGTGGCACATGCCTGTAATCCCAGTTACTCAGGAGGCTGAGCAAGGAGAATCTCTTGAACCTGGGAGACAGAGGTTGCAGTGAGCCGAGATTGCGCCATTGCACTCCAGCCTGGGCAACACTCTGCCAAAAAAAAAAAAAAACCCTCGAGAAAAGAAAATGTGAGACAGTTTCATGTACAGCTGAATTGTCTTTCAAGAAGAAAGGAATATCAACAAGCAAGAACTCAGAGAATTGTGTTCCCATGGAACGTTCCTGAGGATTCTTTCTGATAACTCACTTCAGACACCCAAAATCACTGGAGAAACAATGGCACCAAGGCTGGAGGTGTTCAGTCAGAGAATGGATGAGCTTCCAACAACGCCGGACACAACATTCCCCACTCAACTAGAGTCTTGTGCTAGAGAACCTCACAGGGCCTTTGCAGAAATATCAAATCATAAGGTGAACAAACCTCATACCAGCAAATGGTTGCACAATTCCCGTTTTCCAGCTGTCACAGCAAAGTATAGTTCAAGGTTACGGAATAGCATTTTGCTGTTGTTGTTGCTGTGAAGGTTTAAATGCAACTTTCTTCCCGAATTATTACACATATGAATTACGTGTTTTAATACAGATGTGTACCTTATGATGTAAACAATGTTCATCCATATTTCCAAAAAGTTTCAAAATGTCACATGAATAAAAGATGTATTATCTGAAAGGTCAACATGTAAATTCCTAGAAACAATTGCTGTTTATGATCATATATTCAGGATTTCTGTACACTTTCTCTGACTAATCAAAATTGATGTCTGGGGCGGCTTCAACGCTCAGGAGACATGAACGTGCTCATTCTTTCTACAACAGGGGATGTGAGTGACTTGTAATACGGAGGTTCCCTTATCATATTGAATGTAAACTGAAATAAAACTAGGATGATGTGAATAACTGCATTAAAGAAGTGAGTAACCCTGTGTCTACAAAACAAGAAATCAGTAAATTTTCTGGAAAAATGAATAGAAGTATGTTGATCTTGCGAGAAACAATGCAGTTTCCCAAACGAGTACTTTGTGGCCCTTCTTGTCATATTGCTGGGAGGACCATGTTAGGTTGGGAAAGTAACAGTGAATGGAAATTTTACTTCAAATTACATATAATTACCTCTTCGTGCTGCCAAAAAAAAAAAAAAAAGGAAAAGAAAAGAAAAAGAAATACCGTCTTCTCTTGTCCATCCCTATTTTCCTTAAGTTCTATTCATGACGCAGTTGGAGTCGTTATTACCCTAACATGAAGACTGGACAGACAATGGCTGCACTGAATAGTGAGGAGAAGGTGGAACGGTTCCCTCCACTCCAGTGAGGCCTGCGATGAAGACAATGCACTGAGCCCTATTGAGTGACATGTGGGTAATGACAGATTCACTTGAAAATGGTTTTCATCACAAGGACAGCTAGAATAAAGAGCTGGAGGGGTGAGTTAAGGCTCTGGCAGGGAACTGCTTGAGCATGGCCTTTTACATTTAGACCACACTCCATCATATCTCTGGCATGCATGCTGTCTACGCTGGACCATAAAATCTGTGGGAATGATAAACTATGGGAATGAATTGAACTCAATTCTCAGCCATCTGAAAGAAAAACACAACTTACATACTTACATAGCCAGGGAAAAATCCCAACCCCTTTCAAATTATAGAAAGTAGATATTTGAGTCACGGATGTGCAGAGTTGCTTCTTTTACAAAATCAGAGTAATAGAATGAACGGATTTTATAGGATGGCACGACCTAGGAGACAGGAGTCCAGAAAAGTGTCAGGGAGCTGAGTAGATTGGATTCGGTAACTTGGGGGCTAATGCAAAAGAGTAAGTGGCAAGTGATAGAAGAATTTTAATCCAGAAGACAGCTGTGCATGTGAGGCAGAAGTGTGTGTGTGTGTGGATCTATCTCACCTAAAAGGAGGCAAGCCCAGTCAACCTGTGCCCCACTGCCCAAAGGGACCCCTACCAAGCTCCACTTGTCTCCCCCAAAGCCCTCTCTGACCTGTGGGGAAAGAGGAAGCCCCTGGGCTCTCCCCTGGGAGCTCCCCACACTTGAAGAGCATCCTTGAGGGAGGAAGCAGGAGCCTCCTCCAGCCCTTGAACAGGGGCACTCAGCCCAGAGCTCGCCCCCCAAAAGCGCTTTCTCAGTCACAGTTTCCACTAGAAACAGCCCCTGAACAGGGGCACGGGGCACAGAGCTCGCCCCCCGAACGTGCTTTCTCAATCACAGGTTTCCACTAGAAACATGCAGAAAGCATCATTCTGAATCCACTCACTTCTCCTCTAACCATGCAAGCTACAAGAAGAAAGACAGGAAAAAATTCCCCACCAACCCAATTATCACGAAATAAATCTGTGAACTCTCAATTGCCTGTAAGGGCTGCCAAAAACAACAAAGACCAAGAACGTTTTCATAAGCCCTCATGGGAGCCCAGGACGTTCTAACAGGTGAGAAAAGGGGTGCAGGGATTTCTGACATTGTCAAGAGCAAGCACAGCCAGGAGAGAGCCACCCGAGAAGGACCCAATGAAGACAGCATCAGCTTAGACGGGCACAAGGTCTGCAGGGTAGGGGAGGTAGGGGATGCCTGAAGGGGGAGATCTGGCAGATGTCAGAAAGCAATGTAACAATGCACCTTCTAAAAATCAGAGACTCTTCAGGGGCCTGAGTCTAGTTGGGTCCTCAGAGACAGATGAGGCATGGCTGCACCCCCATGTGTCTCTGACCATATAGGTGCCCAAGGGACCTTCTGTAAGGTTAGCAAACAGAATCCAATGGTACACTACAGAAAAACATGTCATGACCAGAGAGAGTGTATTCCAGAGATGCAAAGGGACATCAGGAAATCTGTTCTATAATCCATATTAGCAGGTCTAAGAACAAAAAGTTATATGACCATCTCTATGGATATTGAAAGCTCTTTTGACAAAACACGTCTATCCTTGATTTAAAAAAATTAAATATCAAAGAAGGTATTGGATTCCACTTACTGGGAATCAAAGAAAATATTTTTACTCAACTAAGGAAAAAGACAAGAATCGCCGCTTTCACTACTAGTATCCACTGCAAATGTTTGCTAAAGCAACTAGACACAAAAGAAATTGGATGTCCAAAAACTAATAAAAAGGAGTAAAATATATTTATTTATTTTAACTTTTTTGCAGATTATATTTAGACATATATAATCCAACAGAATCCACTGAAAAACTACTACAAAGGATAAAAAGTCAGTAAGGTCGCAGGACAAACTGAAGTGCAGAAATCAGTAGTCCCTCTGTAATGGTTAAAACATCAACAACCAGAGCTATAGCAACCAGCTAGAAGGTGCAAGGGAAGAAAAGATACTACTAGCGAGAATAGCAACTAAGCAGATAAGAAAATGCCTTGGAGTCCTCTTAACAGGAAAGGTGAAGCAAAAACAAATAAATAGAAGTCGATAAAAATCTGGAAGATACACAAGTAGATTTGAACATGAGGAACGGCATGCAGGCTGACCTGGGAGATGTTGTGGGTTCAGTTCCAGACTCTACAAACATCACAATAAAGCCAGTCACACAATGTTTTTGTTTCCCAATGCATTTTAAAGTTGTGTTTTTGTTATACTGTATCCTGTAAAGCGTGCAACACCACTGTGTCTAAAAAACAAGGTACATACCCTCATTAAATACTGTATTGCTAAAAATGCTGGCATTCATCTGGGCATTCAGCAAGCCATAATCTTTTTGTGGTGGAGATGCTTCAGCGTTGATGGCTGCTGACTGATCAGGGTGGTAGCTGCTGAAGGTTGGGGTGGCCATTTATTAAAATAAGGCAACAATGAAGTTTGCTGCATTAATTGACTGTTCCTTTTGTGAAAGATTTCCTCGTGGCATGCAATGCTGTTTGACAGCATTTTACCCACAGTAGAACTCCTTTCAAAATTGGAGTTCATCTCTCAAAGTTCTCCGCCACTTTATCAATTAAGTTTACCTAATATTTTAAATCTTTTGATGTCATTTCAACAATGTTCACGGCATCTTCACCAGGAGTAGATTCCACTTAATAAACCATTTCTTAGCTCATCTGCAAGAAGCGATTTCTCATCCTTTCAAATTTATCATGAGATTGCAGCAATTCAGCCCCATCTTCAGGCCCCACTTCTCCTTCAAGTTCTCTCGTGATTTCCACACCTGCAGTCACTTCCTCCACTGAAGGCTTGAACCCTGCAAAGTCATCCAGGAGAACTCAAATAAACTTTTAAAAACTCCTATGAATGTTGATATTTTGATCCCCTCCCGTGACTCACAAATGTTCCTACTGGCGTCTAAAATGATGAATCCTTTCCTGGTTTCCAACTTACCTTGCCCAGACCCATCAGATGAATCACTATTTATGGCAGTCTAATGAAATGTCTTTCTTTTTGTGCGTGTGCATTCCTTTTTAAAGTTTTTTATGTATTTGCGTATTTTTTAACAAATAAAAATTTTACATATTAATGGAGCACATAAGTGATGTTTTGATACATATAATATATGGTATCAGATCGGGGTCATTGCATATCCATCATCTGAGACATGTATCAGTTCTTCATGTTGGAAAAGTTTAATATCCCCCTCTAGCTCTTTGAAACTGTGTAACATGTTACTGATGACTGTAGTCATCCTAAAGTAGTATCAGACCCCAGAACTTATTCTTCCTCTCAAGCTGTAATCTTGCATCCTTCAGCAAATTTCTCCCTGTCCCTCCATTCTTCCTGCCCTTCCCAGCCTCTAGTTCCCTCTGTTCTACTTTTTACTTCTATGAGATAAACATTTTTAGCTTCCACATAGGAGTGAGCACATGCAGTGTTTTAACCTTCTTTTCTAGCTTATTTCATTTAACATAGTGTCCTCCAGTTTCATCCATGATGCAGAAAATGACAGAATTTTATTCTTTGTGTGGCTGAGTAGTACTCTACGATTATATATACCACATTTCCTGTATTTCTTAAATAGTAATACTCAAAAGTCGAAATTACTCCTTGATCCATGGGCTGCAGAACGGATGTTGGGTTAGCAGGCATGAAAGCAACATTAAAATATGGACACCCAGAGTTCATCCCTGGCAGGAATGTAAACGTGTAAAATCAGGATGAACATTAATTGGGTTAATGTCATTAATTGGGTTAATATCATTAATTGGGTTAATGTCATTAATTGGGTTAATGTAGCAAGGTTGCAGATGTTAACAGCCTGTGGCTCAGAAATTCTACTTTTAGGTGCCAAACACAGAATTCTTGCCGATGGGCTCCAGGAGGGAGGTACGGAAAAGTTCACAGCAGCAAAACTGTGTCATAGGAAAAGATGGGGAGGACAGGTACAGAAAGGGTAAAACAAACAAGCATTGCAGGGTACTCACTGAATGCAACCTATACAGAAAAAGAATCAAACTCCAGTTAGGCTCATAACTAGCTTTGTCTCGTCTTGAGTTGAAAAGAATATGCATGTATGACACAAAGAAAAAGCAAAGAAAGATAATTGAGGGTTTTGGTTATGTAGGAATGGGGAGAAAACGCCAGAGGACGTCAACAGGAAGTGCCTTAAACCGTGTGTGGTCCCATGCGGTTGTATTCATCCATCCTCACTCACAGTCTCTAAGTATTTATGTATACTCAGTACTTTAAAAACAATGATCCAAAAAGCCTGCTTTCTTCATCCCCTCTCCAGCTCTGGGCATCTTGCTTGCTGAGGGCAGTGCTGAGAAGCGGCTGCCAGGTCTGAGCCACTTGGTTCTGCATATCCTGCAGGAGGTGGCTCCCCTTTCTCTCCTGGCTCTGTGGCATCAGCACTTTCTCACTCAGGGTCTCAGCCAACACCTCCACTTTATCCTCCACAACAGGCCCACGTGGTAGAAACGGTCATTACCGAGGCCCAGTCACCTTAATCAAGGGCTTGTGCAGGCATGGTCCCGTGTCTGCTCATCACTCCTGAGCTGGCACCACCTCCCTCAGCTGCCTGGACCTGACTTGTTTAAAAGCAAGTTGTGTTTTTCAAGTAATTCTCATGGGTTTTTAGTTGTATGAAGGTTCTTACTACTGTAGTTCTCATTTTAAAATTTATTTTACAATATTAAATCTTTAAAAACCTAAATGTTCAGATACATTTTATGGCTTCTTAGAGATTCTCTGTTAAATTTTAAGCCAACCCAGCAGGAATCTTTTTAGACTAAAACTCAGTTCTAAATGACAGCTGATTTTCTATTACAGAATAAGCTTTCTTTACGTAGTTTACTGTTAATATAATTTATATATATATATATATATATATATATATACACACACTCACAACTATGTGTATATATGCATACATATCAAACTAAAACAACAAATTACGACTGGGCATGATGGCTCACACCTATAATCCCAGCAGTTTGGGACGCTGAGGCGGGCGGATCACGAGGTCAAGAGATTGAGACAATCCTGGCCAACATGGTGAAACCCCGTCTCTACTAAAAATACAAAACTTAGCTGGCCATGGTGGTACGCATCTGTAATCCCAGCTACTCGGGAGGCTGAGGCAGGAGAATTTCTTGAACCTGGGAGGTGGCAGTTGCAGCGAGCCGAGATGGCGCCACTGCACTCCAGCCTGGTGACAGAGCGAGACTCCATCTCAAAAAAAAAAAAAAAAAAAAAATTACATGTCCTGATTCCCAACACATTCACAGTGAAAGTAGATATTTTTTCCTTCTCGTTGCCTTCCTAACATATTGAATTCCTTACTCATTACAGACAAAAAAAGCCTCAGAGTATTAATCATTTCAATAGTTTCCTTAACATTACTTTCGAATATATATTGTCCTGTCAATACAAACTTTATAATCAAGAAGGGGTCACCAGGCCCTACACACGTTAGCTTGTCATTCTTTTAACACTCATCCTGATGTAGGAATTACTGTCTCCATTACACCTGGGGAAACAAACCTCACGGCAGAGTAACTAAGTCAGGGTCGGACACTCAAGGCACGGTGGAGTCAGGGATGGACTTGTTTGGTCTTTCCAGTGTACCATAATTTTTCTGGGTGTACTGTAAAACATACAGCTGCCATTTAGTTATAACTCGCACCTCAAAGCGTTCATTTCAGGATTATTTGAAATAATCTATAGGGAACACTCACACAATATCTGGTTTAAAAAAATCACACCAAGAATTTTAGTGTTTATTAATATGTTGTGTTCAGTATTATTTTATCCATAGAGAAAAACTAAAACGGGTAATAGGGTCAGGTTTCTGTTTTGGCTTGGTTTGATTTGGTTTTTCAAACTGGAGTTTTAGAGGTCACAATCTTGAAATACTGTGGCTCAGGCTTGAGCAGAAGAAAGAGGAGATTGTTAGAAACACACGGTAAGACCTGCAAACTCTTATATGGAGTCATCGTTCATGTCCTGCCCTTTTTATTTTTATATATTTATTTATTTATTTATTTATTTATTTTTTGAGACAGAGTCTTGCTCTGTCACCCAGGCTGGAGTGCAGTGGCACGATCTTGGCTCACTGCAACCTCCTCCTCCCAGGTTCAAGGGATTCTCCTGCCTCAGCCTCCTGAGAAGATAGGACTACAGGCGCCCGCCACCACACCCAGCTAATTTTTTGTATTTTTAATAGAGATAGGGTTTCACCATGTTAGCCAGGATGGTCTCGATCTCCTGACCTCATGATCTGCCCACCTCGGCCTCCCAAAGTGCTGTGATTACAGGCATGAGCCACCACACCCGGCCCAATCTTGGCACTTTCTTCCCAGTCTTAGCCATGACCTTCCCATGAGCTCCTGAGTGGTATATTGAGGATAGAAGACTAAAATATGAAACCCAGAGAACAGTATGGTAAACTGAACTAGTTCTACTGGGAATCTGAAAACTCAGTGAAGTGTTTTCAGAACTCTGAAGGAGCAATAGAGGGTCTCAGCAGTCTTCTTTCAATGTGAAGGGAAAAAAAATTTTAAAAAAGATTGGAGACCATTATTCTAAGTGAAGTAACTCAGGAATGGAAAACCAAATATCATAAGTTCTCACTCATAAGTGGGGGCTAAGAGATGAGGTTGTAAAGACGTAAGAATGATACAATGGACACTGGGGACCCGGGAAAGGGTAGCAAGGAATAGAAAACTACATACCGGGTACAGTGTACACTGCTTGGGGGTGGGTGCACCAAAATCTCTGAAATCACCTCTAAAGAACTTCCTCATGTAACCACATACAACCTGTTCCCCAAAACCTACTGAAATAAAAAAAATTTTAAAAATTAAAAAGAAACATTTTCATAAGATCACATGATATAAGATAACAGAAATACTGAAGCCACATGAAGACCTCCGAGTAGGAAAGGCCAGCCGGAAGAACAGGTACTGCAGAAGGAAGCGTTGGAAGAGAAGCAGGAGAATGAGGCTGTCTAAGTGTTTATGGGGAACTGGGTGATGATTCCTTTTAGGTTTGTAGAACTTGGGAAGAGGGTAGTGAATCCTCAGTTAGGAGGGAAATAGCGCAATGTTAAAGAGAACAAGGTCATCTTTAATGGGATAATCCAGACTCAAACCTTTTAGAAAAAAACTACACTATTGCTTCTCTCTTTCCCCTCTCATGCAGCAGTTTGGGTTTTGTGAACGCATGTAGAGTTTTAACAACGGAGTCCCTGATGTAACGTTACTGACCTGAGGGTACTGCGCTGACCCTGCGGCTGGGTTTTCACTTTGCTTCTTGGGTCTGTTCTTATCACGTCCCCAGTCACAGCCTCTCCCCTATGCTACCTGCCCAGCATGTTCAGCAACAAGAACCCACAGGCAACCATTTCCCCGGCGACTTCCTATCAGAAACAGGGTCACCTCTTATTTATCTTCAGAATCTCCTTCCCATAAAAAAAATAGAACCATCGAAATCTTTTTTTTATTTTTATTTTTATTTTTATTTTTGAGACTGAGTCTCGCTCTGTCACCCAGGCTGGAGTGCAGTGGTGTGATCTTGACTCACTGCAAACTCTGCCTCCCAGGTTCAAGCGATTCTCCCACCTCAGCTTCCCAAGTAGCTGGGATTACAGGTGCCTGCCACCACCACTGGCTAATTTTTGTACTTTTAGTAGAGACGGGGTTTTGCCTTCGCAGAGTTGTGGAAAGTGACTGTCACTGTGTTTAATCTCGGCTCCAGCAGCCAGCAGAAACCTCAGCCAGAAACAGGGGCTCCCTGCGCCCCTGCACCTTTCCACGCGGAGCCCAGCGTGCCCTCCCCTGGCGAAGCTCCTGACCACAGCCCTCCATGCCCGCGATGGCTATACTGTGCAGGGTACCCAGGGCACAGGGCAGCCCCACTCCTCATTTGCAACTGTGAGCACTGCCATTGGATTCCTGGCCACCATCCTTTGTTTAGCCTGTGCTATGTCTGGTCACTGTCTTTTGGACTCCTTACTGCCTGCTTGTGCCAGTGTCCACCAAATATAAGGCTTATCCAGCAGGGTGGACGTCCTGTGCCAGAGGCTCCATCCATGGCAATAGTTCCCCGAGAGCCACCTAGACACAGAACACCTCATTCCTGTTTTCCAACCGATTTTGTCTCATTGAAAATAATAAGTCATGTCCAGTCCCATGCCAAAGTGTGAGAGAGGCAGACACATGTCACAATGTCATGGTGGGAAATCCTGTCATTTTTAGATGGCAGATGCACCAAGCATTCAGGTGCTCCAGGATGGCCCCTGAACCCAATCTCAGCAATCACCACTGAGTGTGTGCTAGATTTCCACGTATCACCAGAGGTGCACAGCACCTCCTTCTGCACATGTAGAATCAGAATCGCACGTGTTTAACCCTGATGAGCAATAGAATTACCATCTGGGAAAAACGGTCCTTCTGTTGCTGGAAAAATTCCCCCAGCTCACTGGAATCAGCCAAGCACCAGCTTTGCTGATAGCCTAGGACCTGGCACTATTGTTCTAGAGGCCACACTCTAATTCCGTCCAGTTCACTCTTCACCTAAATTAGACCCTGACCCAGAAGATGCCTCTGGAGAGCTCCTGCTGTGTCATGCTAGATGATGGAGGCAGGTGTGGAAAAGGAACAAAGAATCCACCTTGGAGAGCTCAGAGTCTATTATGGAAACTAACACAAAAACTGATAACTGCCAGCTAATGCGGTCAGTGATAAGACAGCCAAAAGAGTGACACAGTGGGCCTTGGGGACTTACGGGGAAAGAGTGGGAAGGGAGTGAGAGATAAAAGACTACTAATTGGGTTCAGTGTATACTGTGGGAAATGGGTGCACCAAAATCTCACAAATCACCACTAAAGAACTTACTCCTGTAAGTAAACACCACCTGTTCCCCAATAACCTATGGAATTATTTTTAAAGATGTTAGGGAGTCACTGAGTGGGACGCGCATCTTCACGTTAAAGGTGCAAAGAGGCATTTACTGCCGAGTGATTGAGGGTAACCAGGAAAGTAAAAGCTACCAAGGGTCATCCAGAGTCTGAGATGGAAGAGCCAAGGTAGATGGATGAAGATGCCTAGTGCATGCAGAGGTTCCTGGGGGCACGGTGGGGAGGAGACCCTGACGGGTGTGAGGCTTCTCCGGGAGAGGCCTTTGCAGCTAGTAAAGATGCCCTGAGGAGGGACAGCAAGGGAGCCCTGTGAGCAGGGCTGGGTTTTGAATGGATGACTCGCTGCAATATGGAGGATGATTCTACAGTGGGCATGATTGAAGGGAGGGAATCAAATTGAAAGCCCATCTGTCCATGTATTGGGCAGTAATTATTGATTGTCTACTGCGTGATGGGAAAGACAGAGTGCTTGTGCCGTGGATAGAGCAGGAAGCATGAGCGCATTTCCAGAACTGTGATGAGTTCTACAAAGGAGACACGTGGGGTGTTAGGAGCCCGTGAAACAGAGAGGCACTGCTCAGAGGACATCAGGAGAATGTTCTCTGAGGACCCCTCTCTAACTGGAGACCTGTGGCTTTGTGGTCAGTCCACGTGTGGGCTGTGGCAGCAACTGGTCCACGGAGGCAGGGAGGGGTGCTGGAGCCTGGATAGAATGAACAGCATGGATTCAGGGGACTGCAGACCTGAGGGAGGAGGAAGAGCAAAACAGCAGAGGAAGAACAAGAGTGCAAGAGTGTGTGATGGAGCTGGTCTCTTCTGCAAGAACCAGGGTTTCATGGACCAGGGCACCGTGCAGGGCCATGAGCATGCAAGTCACTGCCCCATCTGAGCGCCTGGGAGGGGAGTGCTAATCTGCAGGCTCTGTTTGCCCTTGGTCAAGGACGTCCCCTTGGGACTGGGTTCCCTCGCCCTGCCAGGTTCATGGACGTCCCCTTGGGACTGGGTTCCCTCGCCCTGCCAGTTCATGCATCCATCAGAAGACCTGTGAGGGATCCTGGGGCATCCAACACTGTCACAGGGTCACACCTGCAGGAGGTGCCTCAATAAGCAAATTTGGTAAATGTGCTTATTATATAAACACATTAATGTTACTGCTTGGGGAGAAACATGACATTCAAACAGTTTTTCTTATTTATTTGGCTTTTTACGTGCTCTGATCCACAAAATGGCAGCGTTCCTTAGACACAGACAGGGCAAGGATTCCACAAAGACAGAAAGAGCCAAGACGAGCACTTCTGTTTCAAAGGCTTGGACGACCTTTTCATTATACCAACCACAACAACATAAAAAATTAAAGGTAAAACCTAATTGAGTTTCCCTGGTTACAAGTGGAAATCTCCAATAATGCTTTTTATGTTCAACCACATGGGGAACTTCACAGTGGAAAATATGACACAATTATTTTATTATTACAATTCAAAATCAGGAGAGGTCACGCAAATGAGAACCTACTCAGTACTCAAACCAGTGAGCACATTGAAACCATTATGTAGAAAACATGGAGGATCACCCTTCCAGGATGGCCTTATTAGTGCTGGAAGCTAAAAATCTATACAAGATGCTGTGCATTTGTTGGCTCTGCTAAGTTTCAAGTGTTTTTATTTGTTTTAATTTGATTTGGTTTGCTTTGGTTTTTGAGAGAGGGTCTTGCTCTGTTGCCCAGGCTGGAGTGCAGTGGTGCAATCTCAGCTCACTGCATCCTCAACCTCCTTGGCTCAAGCGAACCTCCCACCTCAGCCTCCCAAGTAGCTGAGACCACAGGCATGCATTACACATCTGGCTACTATTTTTTTTTGTTTTGCATTTTTTATAGAGACAAGGTCTCACTATATTGCCCAGGCTAGACTCAAACTCCTGACTCAAGCAATCCTCCTGCCTCGGCCTCCCAATTGCAGTGGCTCACATCTGGGATTACAGGCATGAGCCACTGCAATTGACCTAGTTTACCAGTCTTTAGTAATTTATCTTTGCAAAAAAGTGATATTAAGTACCATGATAATTAGAAAACTAATATCTTCATTACAGAACATCCTCTCTAAAAGTCAGCAGAGATGATTCCTTCTTCTGTGATCCTGCTACTCCATTCACAAACCACAGCAAAACTTGGACTGTAAGAATCTGCAGGTCAAGCTTCTCAAAAGCAGACATGAGATCTTATTCATCTTTCTATTCTGATATCTACCTGGTACCTAGCCCATACTCTTCAAGAACTGTGCAAGCTTTGGTTATTACCATATTTATAAACTAACAAATTAGGCTTTGAGATATGTTTACATTCTCCTTTTTTTTAAAAAAAATTGATCTTTCTATCATGGGTTTATTTATCGAGGATAGATTTTTTTTAATGCCGGATATTTTTTAAATACCTGGTCAGGGTTTATGTGATGATATTTTTTTCTCCAAAGACAATAATAATGAATAATATAAGATATATCCTAACTTTAAGACATTCTTTTAATTTTTTATTTTATTATTTTTATTTTATCTTTTTCTTTTGAGACGGAGTCTCGCTGCGTTGCCCAGGCTGGAGTGCAGTGGCTCAATCTCAGCTCACTGCAAGCTCCACCTCCCGGGTTCACACCATTCTCCTGCCTCAGTCTCCCGAGTAGCTGGGACTACAGGCGCCTGCCACCATGCCCAGCTAATTTTTTTTTATTTTTATTTTTTAGTAGAGACAGGGTTTTACCATGTTAGCCAGGATGTTCTTGATCTCCTGACCTCGTGATCAGCACGTCTCGGCCTCCCAAAGTGCTGGGATTACAGGCGTGAGCCACTGCGCCCGGCCTAGACATTCTTACATTTACAAAATAAATTCTATTTGAACATGGTTTACTATTTAAAAAAAAAAACAAACCTTGATTTTCATGGACTAAGCTTGATTTCATGTCAAATCATATCTTCCATTAATATATGATATACTATTATACATCATTTAATCTAAAAGTGACAATTATCATCATTTGAAAAATAGTAACATTTTGTTATTCTTTAAACAAATTTTTTATCAAAATTAAAACTGACACTGAATACATGAATTTTTGTTTTCAGTGAGTTAAATCATTATGTTTATGATGTTGCTTTTGGTACCTTCATACACTTATGTATTGAGCACCTGAAAGCTTTTCACAGTTTGCTTGTTACATGGGGCAGGTTAACAACATGTGAGTCTAAAATAAGAAAAGGTCATAAGCAGACACTTCTCAAAAGAAGAAATACAAGCAGCCAACAAACATATGAAAAAATGTTCATCGTAACTAATGCCCAGAGAAATGCAAATCAAAACCACCATGAGATATCATCTCACACCAGACAGAATGGCTATTATTAAAAGGTCAAATAGTAACGGATGCTTGCAAGGCTGCAGAGAAAAGGAAATGCTTACACACTGTAAGTTAGTTCAGCCACTGTGGAAAGCAGTTTGGAGATTTATCAAATAACTAAAACAGAGCTACTATTCAAGCCAGAAATTCCATTACTGGGTATATATCCAAAAGAAAATAAATCATTTTACCAAAAAGACAAGATTCTCCATGTTCATCACAGAATTATTTACAATAGCAAAGATACAGAATCAGCCTAGGTGCCCATCATCAATAGTGGACTGAGTAAAGAAAATATGGTACTTATACATCATGGAATACTACACAGCCATGAAAAGAATGAAATCATGTTCTTTGCAGCAACATGGATGTAGGTGGAAGCCATAACCCTAAAATAATGAATGCAGGACAGAAAACCAAATACCACATGTTCTCACTTATAAGTGGGAGATAAACATTGAGCACACAGGGACATAAAGCTGAGAACAGCAGACACTGCAGACTTCTAGAGAAGAGAGGAAAGGAGTGGGGGATGGGTTTAAAAACTACCTCTTGGGTACTGTACTCACTGCCTGGGTGACAGGATCATTTGTACCCCAAACCTCAGCATCACGTCATATACCCATGTAACAAACCTACACAACCCCCTGTATCTAAAATAAAAGTTGAAATTATGTATTTTTAAAAGGCAAGCACTGTTGTTTGTTAAAAGAATCTCCTTGTGTGTTTTAGGGCTAGGCTCTCTGTTGCCAGGTTTGATCATGAGGTAAGATGCTATATCACTGATTTTATAGGGGGTCTGGAATGAACTCATTTTATTACCTTGTTTCTGGAATATACATTAAACCTAATTTAACCCACTGTATGTAAAAGGGCTTTTAGCACTACTATTTATTATAAATATACATGAAAATATATATAATGGTCTGAAAATTATCATCATAAAACTCTATATTAGCCTTAAAGACAGAAAACACTGTAGTTCAGATGTGAAATCATTAGTTGTTTCTCTTTTATTGTTTCGTTTTATTTTATTTTATGGACCATATAATGCCTCCTTTGGGCAATGTATTTCCACAAGATGTATGTTCCATACTGCACTAGTAGATTATGCTACTTAATATTGTTTTGTGGCATTTATTAGAACAGAAGGAAAAGAATACATGTAAACTAAGCATCTTCAGCCTCTGTGCTAATAGCAGCCATCCACTCAACAAGAGCTTTCCAGCCAAGTAGTTGTTCCTTGTTCATCTCTCTAAAGGCATTAATTACTTGTATTCACACTGATTTATCTATCATTTTATTGTAGTCAGAGAAAACAATTTTCAAATGTAAGAAATACGGTGTTTCTTTGTTTTGGAAAATTATTACATTGGTGATGTCATAAAAACTGAAAACAAAATTTCCTCATTCTACACTTAACACATTTCATGGATTTTCCTTAGAAGTAAGGTGTCACTAAAGATTCAGAAATAATTTCAATGATTCATTGCTTTAGAGTTGTGAAATAATCCCAAATTGCTAAATAATTTTTAAAAAATAAAGGATTCAAGTTTCTAACTCCACCCAAAATGGGGTAACTCACTGCAAACTATGGATACCACAAAGTGCAACCAAAAACCACAAACAAAATACAAATACTGATATATCAAAAATAACAGCAAGCAGACCACAGTTCATTTCTTGTTTTTTTTCTGTTTTGTTTTGTTTGCTTTGTGTTTTTATCTCCAGCTTTGACCCAAGCCTAGGGTAGCTAAGGCAGGCCACTGAACAATACAAATGGACAACAAAATCTTAAGAAAAGAGTGTCCTTCACAGGAAGGGGAACATCACACACCAGAGCCTGTCATGAGGTGGGGGGAGTGGGGAGGGATAGCATTAGGAGATGTACCTAATGTAAATGACGAGTTAATGGGTGCAGCACACCAACATGGCCCATGGATACATATGTAACAAACCTGCACATTGTGGACATGTACCCTAGAACTTAAAGTATAATAATGATAAAAAAAAAAAAAAAGAGTGCCCTTAGCAACAAAGAACTGGGACAATGGGCCTCCAGAGAATGGGAGAAATTATTTTTCCTCTCTCTCTCTCTCCCTCTGTCTCTCTTTCTCTCTCTCCCTCTCTGTCTCTCTCTCTCCAGGACTGCCATGAGGGCTGCCTCAGTTACAGAGCTGCACTACATATAAACCATAATAGAAAATCTATCCATTAAAGAGAAGAACCATAAAAGGAAGCTCCAGTTGTATACAGATTGAGGAGGATAAAAATCCTTTTTTTTCTATTTATTTTCTCTCCTTGCTTTACCCTGCAGGTAGGACCAGTCAACAGCACTGTGTGCCAAGGACAGTGGCTAAAACTCGGAAAATATTGCTAAACAACAGAGCAAAGGCTTTGAAAGCAAAACTGATGTTGAAAAAAGAAAAAAAAATGAATTAGTCAGAGATCCCCAGAAAAAAAGAACCAACAGGAAAATACATATACATGTAAAGGTTCAAATAATAAAAAAGAAAGCAAGGAAAGGAGGTCAGAAAAATAAAAAAGAATAAAAATAAAATAATAAAATGGTAGGTCTAAACACATTCATTTCAATAATTAAATTAAGTGATCTAAACACACTAAAAGACAGAAATTGCTGGGTTTACTTAAAAAAAAAACAAGATCCAACTGTATTCTCTCTTAAGAAAAATTACCTTAAGTATAACGGTATAGGTATATTAAAAGTAAATGGAAGGACAAGTATCCACAATGCAAAAGAAAACTAGAGTGTCACTATTAATATAAAAACAAACCAAGTTTAGAACAAAAAAGTTACCAGGGATAAAACACACACACACACACACACACACACACAGGTGAACATATCCAAGATGGACCAGGTACCAACGATGGAAGCACCGAAGCTGCAATAACTTTACTTACAATGGGAGATCTAGTATTAAAGTCAGAAATCAGTACTGAACAGGGTGATGTAGGAGTATGTATACTTCCTCATGTTCATTCAAAGAATAAAAGCCAATATTCCTTTTAGCCTAGATAATATAAAACACAAAATTGTTCATGAATGTCAGGAGCTCTCTTCACCTGTCATTATGACATCTCCCTCATCATTTGAAGAAAACAAGATTGTATTGGAGGAACAAAGTTCCAGAGAAGAAATTAGTTTAATGGAGAAAGTAAAGGAGAATGCTACACTAACCAGGAATACAACTTCTAAAGTGACCAGTAATTTGAGAATAAGAAGTAGATTTGCCAAGCCTAAACCAAATCTTGAGAAGATTTTAGGGACCAACAGGTTTGATGATTAACAGGAAGTTTCCAGTTTCTGTGTAACCAAAGGGGAAGAACTGGAAACTCAAAGGGAAACAGAGACAAATGCTTCCAAAGCAACAGAATTGGAAGATAAAAACCTCTGACCAGTTACAACAGCAGAGAATAAAGAACAGAGCAAATTGGCACGCATACATGGTATCAAAGGGACCAGTATTTCTCAAGAAGTAAACCTAACTGAGAGAAATAAGAATCAAGAAGAGAGCTCTCAAGAGGCTCACATGTTGTCAGTTGCTCCAATTTCTTCCTCTGAGACAGGGCCCCGCACACTTGGTTTGGAGAGGGGTCTGGTGAAAATCTTGTTGCAGTGCCCCAGATGAAGGCCTCTAAAGGAGACAACGTGCTTACACTTCCTGTGCCAGGGTAAACACCAAGAAGTATTCCAGAAGTCCAACAAGAAAATATAATCAGTCCTCAAGACCTAACAGTGACTCTAGTTGCTACTGTACCTCGAGATGGAGAAGATGAAAAAGCATTTATTTTAACTCTGGTGGAAATCCCAACCAATCTCCTTTACTTTCTCCATTAAACTAATGGAGAGTAGAAGAAATAACCGAAGCCACTGCACAGTTAATGCCAAACCCTTTACTGCCAGCTTCCATATTGGTCAAATCAATGAATACTGAAGAAAGGGGTGGCATGAGTGTTTACCAGCAACTTCAGTTGGTCAAGATGACATGGGTTTATCCATTTCTGTAAGAGATAGCTCTTCTAAAAAGCTTTCTGATAATTTGGATCTTGTATCTAGGAAGAGATTTCTTTGCAGGCTTGGTGAAAATGACCACGTTCCTCCTGCCAAAAACTGTTCACTCACTTTAAGAGATGATTGTCAAGCATAGACCTCTGAGGTGCGCTCAAAGGAATTAACAAATGTTTTTGAGGAAACAGGGGAGTCTCACAAGGGACAAGATATTTTTCCTACCTCAGGAAGCACATTGACAACTCCAGAACCTCAAAAAGTGCAAGTCGAACCAACTTTTCAGAGTACAGGATCTAGATCTCCCGATACATGCATGGACAAGAATGTGCCTCGGTTACCTCAGAATGAAATGATTGTGTCTGATAAGGAAGAAAGAACTGTTGCTGCTCCTAAGTCTGAGCAAATGGACAGCAGAACACCATCTTCAAAAGCCCACTATCCAGACCTGGCAGAAGATCCCTGGGATTTTTATCTTTCATATGTTCAAAGAATAGTTTGGAGTCTGACAGACCTACTCAGGTCCATAGTAAGAATCGCCTAAAGCCTCTTATCCCTGCATTAAGACAGAATCTGAAAAGATTCAATCCATCCAATGAAAGCCAGAAAAGAAGCAAGAGTCCTCTGATCCGCTTGCATCTCCAAGTGTTATTAATACTCAATCTGAGAATATTAGCAACTCAGCAACCAATTTTTTTGTGATCAGCCCTTGCTGAAAGGACATAAAAGTGGCCAAAAGCGGGCCCCTAAATGGAAGCCAACCACAGTCTCTGAATATTTCTTCAATGATGTCTTCATTAAAGTGGATGAAACAGAATAAAACAATCTTTTGTCTTTTTCTTTTTTAAATTAAATCTAGGATTTCCAGAGTCAATTACATCAACAAAACAGTATTTAGAGCAAAACATCGCTGTCTATTTTTCTTTAGGTTGATTTTGAATATTTAATGAGCTTGATTTGAAGCTTTTGTAATCAGTGGAAAACATTTCTGAGGTTCCTTTCATTCTGATTGATTTAGCATTTTGCAAATAGCAAGCAATTAAGACTGCTTTCTCAGACAGAAATAACAGCTCTTGTTCACATTTTGACTCTTCCTGCGCTAAGCACACATGGACATTTGGGAATGTTGTGGATGTATGTCTCTCTATGAACTGCAGTGCACACAGATTTGGGGGTTGATTGTATCATATTTAATGTTTAGAAACTTCCTTTGTGAAGATTTTTTTATTTTTACGTTTAGAGGAAGATGATGAAGGATGAAGGCCATTTCAGTTGCTTCTAAGTACAGTCATTTTTCGCATAATGATGTTTAAGTCAATGACGGACCACATATATGACAGCGGTCCCATACAATTAAAATGGAGATAAAAAATTCCTATCATCTAGTGACATTATATCCATCATAACACAGTGCGTTGCTCTTTTATGTTTAGACATGTTTAGATACACGGATACTTCCTATTGTGTTACAACTGCCTACAGTATTAAGCATAGTAACATGCTATAGAGGTTTGTAGCCAAGGGGCAATAGGCTATACCGCATAGCCTCGGACTGTAGGGTGTGTAGCAGTCTGTACATCACCGTGTTTGTAAGTACACTCTGCGTCGTTCCACACAAGATCACCTAACAAGGCATTTCTTAGAACATATAATTAAGGGACACATGACTGTACATGAAAACAAATTGTCAAACTCCGCTTTCGTAGGGTAAATGTTAAAGAACTTTTCTATTATCAGCTGTTTGTCTGACTGAAAAATACATATTTTTTCAGTTTATGGTGATGTAACATTAGTCCTAATTGAAAAACTAGTATTTAAACATAATTATTTATAAAGATGACACAACAAAGAGCTTATTTATTTTTACATTTTTTATTTGAAAGGATATTCAGTTTTAGCTATTTTCACCCCTCAGATTATAGATGAAGAAGGCATTAACAATTTTATGTTTGTCTCCTTTTTCTCTTTAATTTTAAATATATTTAAAATGATATAACTAAAAATGTTTGGCTAGTATGTGTTTGGAATATCTTTTTTCCCTCAGATTAGTGTATTGACTTTGTACTGTGAATTTTTCTGTTTTTCTTATTTCTGGGATATTCTCAGGATTTTCATGAGGGTAGGGGAAACTCAACTTTATGAGACAAATTTTCATAGAAAATGCAATCTCCTTTATACACACACAGACATATATTAGTTTTTAAAAGCCAATTTCTTCATAGTGTTTTTACCATTAAATTCTCAAGAAACACTTAGATCTTTAAGCATGGAACACAATCGTGATGTTAAAAATAGAAAATAAGACTTACCACATGTTCTCACTCATAGGTGGGAATTGAACAGTGAGAACACTTGGACACACGGTGGGGAACATCACACAGCGAGGCCTGACGTGGGGTGAGGGGGAGGGGGTAGGGATAGCATTAGGAGAAATACCTAATGTAAATGACCAGTTAATGGGTGCAGCACACCAACACGGCACATGTATACATATGTAACAAACCTGCCCGTTGTGCACATGTACCCTAGAACTTAAAGTATAATAATAAAAAAAAAAATAAAGTTAGTGATTATCATCAATATGAATTTAAGGTTTTAATTTCCAGATTTGATGACTGACACATGTAATTCTATGATCTACCCAAGCAGATCTGTAGTGGTTCCCATTAGACTTCTCAAAAAGCAAATTTACTCTGATTTTGTTTGAAAAGCCTCTTAGATTGGTAATATATTAGCTCAGCAGTTGGAAACTTTCTGCAAACTATTTTGGGTTTGCAGGCCAGATGGTCTATCTGGCAGCTACTCAGCTCTGCAATTTCAGTGTGAAAGAAGCCATAGACAGTATTTGAATGAAGGACTGTGGCTGGATTGGCCTTTTAGTTTGACTGCTATATTAGACCCCAAATTTTCTTACCCTAAGGTGCTGATGTCTGTATGTAAGAGTTATTTGTCACTGAAGTTACGAGTTGTGCCTAAAAGTTAGAACTGTGTTCATTGTATTATGTAATGATCAGTATTTCAATTAGGAAGATATTTTAGAGTCTAGATAATTACGTTTGTATATGGAAAAAATGGTGGCCAGTTTTTAAATTCCTTAATAGAAGAGAATTATGTCTCAGCAGGTATAATAGTAATGCTAATTTATTGAAACTACTGCTGTTAGAGCACTTCTTTCTCATTGTCTTTTAGTGAAATTCACGGCTTATCATTTTGTCAGAGAGGAGGCTATATGATTCTGAGTGGAAACTGTCTACAAGTAGGCATTTATTTCGTGATTAATATGTCAGAGAAATCATGGCAGTAAATCACATTGCTATTTTAATACCCTGTTTTTGTAAGTTTTTAAAACTCATATTCTGAAGAGATTTCTTTCTCTTAATGTTAGTTTGGGAGTCAGATTGCCATGATTAAAGTATTATTTATCCTTGTGTAATAATAATTTTTAACTTTAACAACTGTCTCTTTTTAATCTATAATAAACTAGTTTTATGGAAGATAGAATTTCTTGCTATATAAAGAATACAGGGACTCATTGTACTAGAGAATCAAGTCAGCCGGCTAAATTATCCTACCATTATATCCTTAAACCTAATTTTGGAAAAGAGAAAGTTAATCAGTGTATTCACCTTACATGGTGGCAAGAACTATGTTAGGCCTGATTCATGTAAAGAAGATGTTGCAAAGAATTTATTTCATAAATCTTAAAGGAGATATGATTACAGGTTTTTATCTGTTCTTGATTTTTTCTCCTGAACACTTACGCATTAGCAAGTGATCAGCATGCGGGTTTGACGCCTAATTGTTGGTAAATGGTTGAGGCACGACAAAAATATTAATATCCATTGTTTACCATCATGTTATTTGAAACAGAAGTGGCATGTGTACTCTCTTGCTTGAAGAAGTCTTTGACAAAAAAAAAATCATGTCATTTATAAATTTTCTTGTTCTAAAGAAATCAGTTATGTTATATATATGTATACATATAAATTATGTAAATAAAAGTTATTTTATACCAAAAAAAGGATAAAGTAATCAAGAAAACGTAAGAATCTTAAATGAGCATACACCTAACAGAGCTCCAACATACACGAAGGAAAAACTATTAGAACTAAAAGTTAAAAAAAACCCAGAAAACACATTTTTAAATCCCCGAGTACCTGGAAATCAAAAGCACACTTCTAAATAACCAAGGGACCAAAGAACAGATTGACAGAAATTTTTGAAAAATATTTTTTAAACTGAATGAAATGCTGAAATAACATATGAAAATCCTTGCTAAAATAGCGCTTACAGGGAAACTTGAGCATTAAATATTTAATTAGAAAATTAAAAGATCTAAACTCAATCACAGAGTTTCCACTTTAAGAAACTAGAAAAAATAAAGGACATTTCAATGCGGGCTCATGGGGCTGTGAAGCCAAGAGCTATTAACACTATGACCAAGGATTGAAATTCTCTATAGGATCCGTAGCACTGAATAGTGCTATATTTTCCGGAGGAAGTATAAGACTTAGCCATTTATAATTATGACTTGATAATCCATAATTGTTGATGTGGGAAAGTAAATACATTTCTCAAAGTTTAAGTAGATTTTCTTTTTTTTAAAGGAAAAAAAACAGACCCACAGTAAGCAGAAGAGTTAAATAATAAAGATAAGAACCGAAATCAATAAAATTTGAAACAGAAAAACAATGGGAAAAAAATTGATGAAACCAAAAGCTGGTTCTTTAAAAAGACCAAGAAGAGGCAGTGACCTAGCAGAAAAGATAGATACATTGCAAAGAAATCTCTGAACAAACATACCCAATAAAAATCAAAACAAGCCAGGCAGAGAAAACAAATAAATAGCTAAGTTTTCAACGCAAAGACAGATGTACATCCACAGGAAACAATAGCAAACAGGAAACCAGGACCTCCCCAAACAGACAGATCAAGTTGCCAGTGACTGACCCTAACTAGACGGGAGTAGATGAGCTCTCTGATCAAGAATTCAAAATAGCAGTTTTAAGAAAACTCAGTGATCTTCGAAATAACATGGAAAAGCAACTCAGAAATGTATTAGGTAAATATAATAAAGAGATTGAAATTTTTTTCACTTTTTTTATACTTTAAGTTCTGCGATAGATGTGCAGAATGTGCAGGTTTGTTGTATAGGTACACAGGTGCCATTGCGGTTTGCTGTACCCACCAACCCGTCACCTACATTAGGTATTTCTCCTAATGCTATCCCTCCCCTAGCCCCCCAACCCCTCGAAAGGCCCCGGTGTGTGATGTTCCCCTCCCTGTGTCCATGTGTTCTTATTGTTCAAATCCCACTTATGAGTGAGAACATACAGTGTTTGGTTTTCTGTTCCTGTGTTAGTTTGCTGAGAATGACGGTTTCCAGCTTCATCCAAGTCCCTGCAAAGGACATGAACTCATTCTTTTTTATGGCTGCATGGTATTCCATGGTGTATATGTGCCACATTTTCTTTATCCAGTCTATCATTGATGGGCATTTGGGTTGGTTCTAAGTCTTTGCTATTGCAAATAGTGCTCCAGTAAACATACGTGTGCTTGTGTCTTTATAGAATGATTTATAAAACTTTGGGAATATACCCAGTAATGGGATTGCTGGGTCAAATGGTATTTCTGGTTCTAGATCCTTTAGGAATCACCACACTGTCTTCCACAATGGTTGAACTAATTTACACTCCCACCAACAGTGTAAAAGAATTACTATTTCTTCACATCCTCTCCAACATCTGTTGTTTCCTGACTTTTTAGTGATCACCATTCTAACTGGCATGAGATGGTATCTCACTGTGGTTTTGGTTTGCATTTCTCTAATGACCAGTGATGATGAGCTTTTTTTCATGTTTGTTGGCTGCATAAATGTCTTCTTTTGAGAAGTGTCTGTTCATATCCTTCGTCTGCTTTTTGATGGGATTGGTTTTTTCTTGTAAATTTGTTGAAGTTCCTTGTAGATTCTGGGTATTAGCCCTTTGTCAGATGCATAGCCCCTTGTCAGATGCATAGATTGCAAAAATGTTGTCTCATTCTGTAGAACTAGAGAGGCAAGAGCAAACACATTCAAAAGCAAACACATTCAAAAGCTGGCAGAAGGCAAGAAAGAGCTAAGATCAGAGCAGAACTGAAGGAGATAGACACACTAAAAAAATCAATGAATCCAGGAGCTGGTTTTTTGAAAAGATCAACAAAATGGATAGACCGCTAGCAAGGCTAATAAAGAAGAAAAGAGAGAAGAATCAAATAGACACAATAAAAAATGATAAAGGGGATATCACCCCTGATCCCACAGAAATGCAACTACCGTCAGAGAATACTATAAACACCTCTAGGCAAATGAACTAGAAAATCTAGAAGAAATGGATAAATTCCTGGACACATACACCCTCCCAAGACTAAACCAGGAAGAAGTTGAATACCTGAATAGACCAATAACAAGCTCTGAAATTGAGGCAGTAATTAATAGCCTACCAACCAAAAAAAGCCCAGGAACAGATGATTCACAGCTGAATTCTACCCGAGGTACAAAGAGGAGCTGGTACCATTTCTTCTGAAACTATTCCAATCAATAGAAAAAGAGGGACTCCTCCCTAACTCATTTTATGAAGCCAGCATTATCTGATACCAAAACCTGGCAGAGGTACAACAAAAAGAGAAAATTTCAGGCCAATATCCCTGATGAACATCGATGCGAAAATCCTCAACAAAATACTGGCAAACCGAATGCAGCAGCACATCAAAAAGCTTATCCACCACAATCAAGTCAGCTTCATCCCTGGAACGCAAGGCTGGTTCAACATATGCAAATCAGTAAACATAATCCATCACATAAACAGAACCAATGACAAAAACCACATGATTATCTCAATAGATGCAGAAAAGGCCTTTGATAAAATTCAACACCCCTTCATGCTAAAAACTCTCAATAAACTAGGTTTTGATGGAACATATCTCAAAATAATAAAAGCTATTTATGATAAACCCACAGCCAATATCATGGTGAATGGGCAAAAGCTCAAAGCATTCCCTTCGAAAACAGGCAAAAGACAAGGATGCCCTCTCTCACCACTCCTGTTCAACATAATATTGGAAGTTCTGGCCAGGGCAATCAGGCAAGAGAAAGAAACAAAAGGTATTCAAATAGGAAGAGAGGAAGTCAAATTGTCTCTGTTTGCAGATGACATGATTGTATATTTAGAAAACCCCATCATCTCAGCCCCAAATCTTCTTAAGCTAATCAGCAACTTCAGCAAAATCTCAGGATAAAAAAATCAATGGGCAAAAATCACAAGCATTCCTAAACAACAATAATAGACAAAAAGAGAGCCAAATCATGAGTGAACTCCCATTCACAATTGCTACAAAAAGAATAAAATATCTAGGAATACAACTTACAAGTGATGTGAAGGACCTCTTTGAGGAGAACTACAAACCACTGCTCAAGGAAATAAGAGAGGACACAAACAAATAGAAAAACATTCAATGCTCATGGATAGGAAGAATCAATATTGTGAAAATGGCCATACTGCCCAAAGTAATTCATAGATTCAATGCTATCCCCATCAAGCTACCATTGACTTTCTTCACAGAATTAGAATAAACTACCTTACATTCTGTATGGAACCAAACAAGAGCCCTTATAGCCAAGACAATCCTAAGCAAAAAGAACAAAGCTGGAGGCATCAAGCTACCTGACTTCAACAGAGATTGAAATAATTTTTAAAAATCAAGCACAAATTCCAAAACTGAGAAATATATTTGTTAAACTGAAAATTTCATTACAGGCTCTCAACATTAGAACAGATCAAGCAGAGGAAAGTATCAGTTAGTTCAAAGACAGGCTATTGCAAAATACACAGAGAGAATAAAAGAGAAAAGAATATAAAGGAATGAAGAACACTTACAAGATATAAAAAATTAACTGAAAAGGCCAAATCTAAGAATTATTGATGTTCAAGAAGGAGCTGAGCAATGGCAGTATTATCTCAACTCAGTTAAAATGGTTTTTGTTACAAAGACAAGGAGTAATGGAGGTTGGTGAGGATTTGGAGAAAGGGGAACCCTCATACAGTATTGCTGGGAATGTAAATTAGGACAGCCATTAGGGAAAACAGTATGGAGACTCCTCAAAATCCTAAAAATAAAACTACTATATGATCCAGCAGTTCCATTACTTGGAATATATCCAAAAGAAAGAAAATCCATATATTGAAGAGATATCTGCCCTCCCATGTTTGTTAAAGCACTATTCACAATAGCCAAGATGTGGAATCAGCCTAAGTTCCTATGTATGGATAAATGGATACAGAAAATGTGACAGATATACACAATAGAATACTATTCTGCCATAAAAAGAATGAAAGCTTGTTATTTGCAGCAACATAGATGGAGCTGGAGGCCATTATGTTAGGTGAAATAAGCCAATCACAGAAAGACAAATATTGCACTTTCTGTCTCATATGTGGAAGCTAAGAAAGTGAAACTCAGGAACATAAAGAATAGAACGGTGGTTACCAGAGGCCAGGAAGGGTGGTGGAGGGAGACAAAGAGAGGTTGATTAGTGGGTACAAGAAAATAGTTAAAAGAAATTAGCTTTTGTGTTCAATAAATCAGTAGAGTGACTATAGTAAACAATAATCTATTTTATATTTTAAGATAGCCGGTAGAAAATCATACAAATGTTCCCAGCATGATGATAAGATAAATGTTTAAGGTGATGGATATCCCAAGTACCTTGATTTTATTATTATACATTATATGAGTATATCAAAATATCACATATACCCCTAAAATATGTACAACTATTCTATAGCATTAAAACATTTTAAGATCAGAAAAATGATAAATCACTAGTTAAAATTACCAAAAAAGAAGGGAGATGCCAATTAGCAATATCAAAAATGAATAAAGAATGTCTCTACAAATGCTACAGACATAAAATGGATTGCAAAAAAATACTATGAACAATTATGTGCCCATAAATTTTACAACTTAGATAAAATAGAACAATACATTGAAAGACACATAATCATGAAAATAATAAAATTCCTAGGAATACAGCAAACCAGGGAGGTGAAAGGTCTCTACAACGAGAATTACAAAACACTGCTCAAATAAATCCAAGATGACACAAACAAATAGAAAAATATTTCATGCTCATGGATAGGAAGAATCAATATCATTAAAATGGCCATACTGCCCAAAGCAATTTACCGATTCAATGGTATTCCTATCAAACTACCAATGACATTCCTCACAGAACTAGAAAATATATATCTATATATTTGGAGACAGAGTTTCGCTCTTGTTGCTGGAGTACAGTGGCACGATCTCAGCTCACTGCAACCTCCACCTCCCAGGTTCAAGCGATTCTCCTGTCTCAGTCTCCCAAGTAGCTGGGATTACAGGCATGCACAACCATGCCCGGCTAATTTTGTATTAGATAAAAACTATTTTAAAATTCATATGGAATCAAAAAAGAGCCCAAATAGCCAGGGTAGTCCAGGGCTAATTCTACCAAAAAAAGCACAAAGCAGGAGGTGTCATGATACCCGACTTCAAATTACACTACAGGGCCACAGTAACCAGAATACCATAATACTAGTACAAAAACAGACACATAGACCAATGGAACAGAATAGAGGGCCCAGAAATAAGGCTATACACCCACAATCATCTGATCTTCAACAAAGCTGACAAAAACAATCAATGGCCATATGCAGAAGATTGAAACTGGACCCCTTCCTTATACCATATAAAAATCAATTCAAGATGGATTAAATACTCAAACATAAAACAAAAACTATAAAAATCCTGGGAAACAACCTAGGCAATACCAATCTGGACACAGGAACTGGCAAAGATTTCATGATGAAGACGCCAAAAGAAATTGCAATAAAAACAAAAATTCACAGATGGGATCTAATTAAACTTAAGAGCTTCTTTGCAGCATAAGAAAATATCAACAGAGTGAAAAGAAAACCTACAGAATGGGAGAAGATATTTACAAACTATGTATCTTACAAAGCTTTAATATTCAGCATCTATAAGGAACTTAAACAAATTTACAAGAAAAAAAACTAACGACCCATTTAAAAAGTGGGCAAAGGACATGAACAGACGCTTTACAAAAGAAGACCTACAGGCAGCCAACAAGCATATGAAAAAAAGCTCAACATCACTGATCGTTAGAGAAATGCAAATCAAAACACAATGAGATACCATCTCACACCATTAAGAATGGCTATTACTAAACAGTCAAAAATAATAGATGCTGGCAAGGTTGCAGAAAAAGAGAACATTTATATGCTATTGGTGGGTTGAACTAATTCACAGTTAGTACATTCATTGTAAATTAGTTATAAATTAATTGTAAATTAGTTCAACCATTGTGGAAAGCACTGTAGGAATTCCTCAAATAGCTAAAAACAGAACTACTATTCAATCCAGCAATCCCATTACTGGGTATGTACCCAAAGGAATACAATTTGTTCTGTCATGAAAACAAGCACAGCCGGTCACGGTGGCTCACGCCTATAATCCCAGCACTTTGGGAGGCTGAGGCAGGTGGATCATGGGGCCAGGAGATTAAAACCATCCTGGCTAACATGGTGAAACCCCATCTCTACTAAAAAATACAAAAATTAGCCAGGTGTGGTGGCACACACCTGTAGTCCCAGCTACTCGGGAGGCTGAGGCAGGAGAATAGTGTGAACCCAGGAGGCAGGGCTTGCAGTGAGCCGAGATCATGCCACTGCACTCCAGCCTGGGCAACAAAGTGAGACTCCATCTCAAAAAGAAACACAAGTACTTGTATGTTCACTGCAGTAATAGCAAAGACATGGAATCAACCTAAATTCCCATCAATAGTAGAATGGATGAAGAAAATATGGTACATATACACCACGGAATACTATGCAGTCATAAAAATGAAGAACAAACCTGCGTGACACAAGTTTACCTGTATAACAAACCCGCACGTGTACCCCTGAATCTAAAATAAAAGTTTTCTGAAAAGTAAGACACATCATGCCAAAACTCACTGAAAAAGAAGTAAATAATCTGAATAATCCTAGACCTGTTAAGAAATTGAATTTATAATGCAAAACCTTTAGACAAGGAAAACTCAAGGCCAGATAGTTTCACTGGCAAATTCTACCAAATATTTCAGAAAGAAATAATATAAATTTTACACAATCTCTTAAAAAGAAAAAAAGAATACTCTTGAACTTCTTTTATGATGCCAGAAGTGCCCTAACCCCAAACCAGGAAAAAATTGTATAAAAAGAAACCTATAACTAATAGCCCTCATGAATATAAACATGTTCAACCAAATATTAAACACAACAATGTATAAGAAGGTGAGTACATCGCACCAAGTGAGATTTCTTCCAAAAATGTGTATCTGGTTCAACATTTGAACATCAGTAAGTGTAACTTGCCATTTAAAAAGATTGCAGTAGACAAGGCTACATAATCATCTCAACACATGAAGAAAAAGTATTTGGTAAAATTTATTATTCATTCATAATAATAATTTGTAAAACTTAAGCAAACTAGGAGGAATAAAGGTAACTTCCTTAACCTAACAAAAGGCATCTACAAAAAAATTCTAATCTCATACGTAATGGACGGTCTAAAATGAAGAAAAGGAGAAAGACATTCACACGTAACACTTGTATTCAACATTGCACTAGATGTCCTAACAAGTGCCATAAGGCAAGGCAAAGGAATAAAAGCAAAAATCTTAAAGAAAGAAAACTGTCTATATTCACAGATGACATGATTGTCTATATTAAAAATCCCATGATATTTATTTATTTATTTATTTTATTTATTTATTTTTGAGATGGAGTCTCGCTCTGTCGCCCAGGGCTGGAGTGCAGTGGCACAATCTCAGCTCACTGCAAGCCCGCCTCCCTGGTTCAAGCAATTCTCCTGCCTCAGCCTCCTGAGTAGCTGGGACTACAGGCATGTGCCACCACACCCAGCTAACGTTTTTGTATTTTTAGTAAAGATGGGGTTTCACCGTGTTAGCCAGGATGGTCTCGATCTCCTGACTTCGTGATCCGCCCACCTCAGCCTCCAAAGTGCTGAGATTACAGGCGTGAGCCGCCGCACCCGGCCGACATTTATTTTTTTAACTAATAAGTGAGTTTTCCGAGGATGTAGATATTTCATTAAACAAACATGTAAATGACAATAAACATACAAAATAGTCTGAAAATCATTAGTCACTAAGAAAATGTAAATTAAAGCTATAATGAAAAAGATAACATGTTTATGGGAATGGCTAAAATTTTTTAAAAATCCAGACAGTATCAGATACTACGAAGGATGCACAGCAAACAGAACTCTCATGCATCACTGGGAGGGCTGTGAAAGGGCAGAGTCCATCCAGAACACACTGGGCAGTTCCTCACAAAGTTAAACATATATTCACCATGCACACAGCAATTCTATTTCTAGATATTCATTCAGAAGCAGATTTGAACATTGGAAAATCTGTGTTCACACACACACACACACACACACACACACCCCTAACGGTGAATGTTTATAGCAGCTTTCTCACCATTCACAAACTCTGGGAACATCTTCAAAGTCTCTCGACTGGGAAAAGGATGAATCAACCGGTACCCAGATAAAGTAGAGAATACCACTCATCAATCACAAAGGGGGAAGGGTCGTTGGTAGACACATAACATGAATGAATCTCAAATGCACTACCCTATGAAAGAAGCCACATTCTATAAAGGCTACATGTTTAGCTACATGTTATGTGACTCCATTTTTATGACTTTCTTGGAGATTAAAAAACAGAATGAAGGCAAGCAAGTCAGGGATTTCCAGGGATTAAGCGTTTGACTTCAAAGGGCCACCAGGGGGATTTTTTTCAACAGTGATCAAACGATTCTGTATTTTGATTGTGATGGCATTTGCATGACTATGCATTTGTCAAAACTCATAGAACTGAACAGTGAAAATGGTATTGTGTATACATTTAAAAATAAATGTAAAAGAAACACAACCCAATAATGAAAGTGGATCCTCAGAAATAGATAATTTATAAGCACACACAAATGTATTGCTATGTATAGTTCTCTACAGCATTTGAAACTGTCTATTTTATATAACTGAAACTTGTTTGTGTGTGTATATAACCTATAATAATATAATACATTACATTATAGTTCACTGAATGCAGGAAACGTGAATAGCGTATGTGTGTATGTCACTGTCTGGCAGAGATAATAATCCATAAATGTTTGTTAGATAAATGAAACATAATTCAATAGAAAAAATGTTCTGCTCTATGACATAGAATTGGCTCTCCTGCATAACTCCCTCAGTTCACAGCCAGTGGAAACAGCAGATTTGAAGGGGCAAAGAAATGGGTAGAAAAAGTTATGCTGATAGAAAAAAAAAAGTGATCAATGTTAACCCTATGTAGACAGCAGAACACAGAATAATAAAACTCAAACACACAGATTTGTGTGTGTGTGTGTTTTACATACCACATAGCTGTCATTTATCTCTATACAACTTCAAATAATAATTGCTGTGGAAAAAGGGCCTTATAAATTAAAAGTTTTATTAGGTAAAATATTCTTTAGAAAACTTTCGCAAATAAAATATATTATGAAAAATATTTTTTAATTTTTACCTATTTATTTATTTTGAGACTGGCTTATAAGACTGGCTAATTTTTGTATTTTTGGTAGATACGGGGTTTCACCATGTTGGCCAGGCTGGTGTCGAACTCCTGGGCTCAAGTGGTCCACCTGCCTCAGCCTCCCAAAATGCTGGGATTACAGCTGTGAGCCACTGAGCCCAGCCTGAAAAGAATTTTCTAAGAAAAATTGGTTAAGTTCATGATGTTTAAAAGGATAATATACACAAAACCAAGTTTTATGTGTGTGTGTTTATATGTGTGTTCATTTGTGTATGTGTAAAAGAAAGATGCATCAATGCCTATACCTAACTTATATATGGCTTTTCTTCTTTTTAACTTAACATTTTTTAAAAAACAACTTACCGTTCAAGAATTGAATAAGGATGAGGAAGGAGCCAAGATGGCCAAATAGGAACAGCTCCGGTCTACAGCTCCCAGCGTGAGCGACACAGAAGATGGTTGATTTCTGCATTTCCATCTGAGGTACCGGGTTCATCTCACTAGGGAGTGCCAGACAGTGGGCGCAGGTCAGTGGGTGCGCGCACCCTGCGCGAGCCGAAGCAGGGCGAGGCATTGCCTCACTCGGGAAGAGCAAGGGTCAGGGAGTTCCCTTTCCTAGTCAAAGAAAGGGGTGACGGACGGCACCTGGAAAATCGGGTCACTCCCACCAGAACACTGCGCTTTCCCCACGGGCTTAAAAAACGGCGCACCACGAGATTATATGCCGCACCTGGCTCGGAGGGTCCTACCCCACGGAGTCTCGCGGATTGCTAGCACAGCAGTCTGAGATCAAACTGCAAGGCGGCAGCGAGGCTGGGGGAGGGGCGCCCGCCATTGCCCGGGCTTGATTAGGTAAACAAAGCGGCCGGGAAGCTCGAACTGGGTGGAGCCCACCACAGCTCAAGGAGGCCTGCCTGCCTCGGTAGGCTCCACCTCTGGGGGCAGGGCACAGACAAACAAAAAGACATCAGTAACCTCTGCAGACTTAAATGTCCCTGTCTGACAGCTTTGAAGAGAGCAGTGGTTCTCCCAGCACGCCGCTGGAGATCTGAGAACGGGCAGACTGCCTCCTCAAGTGGGTCCCTGACCCCTGACCCCCGAGCAGCCTAACTGGGAGGCACCCCCCAGCAGGGGCACACTGACACCTCACAGGGCACGGTATTCCAACAGACCTGCAGCTGAGGGTCCTCTCTGTTAGAAGGAAAACTAACAAACAGAAAGGACATCCCCACCAAAAACCCATCTGTACATCACCATCATTAAAGACCAAAAGGAGATAAAACCACAAAGATGGGGAAAAAACAGAGCAGAAAAACTGGAAACTCTAAAAAGCAGAGCGCCTCTCCTCCTCCAAAGGAACGCAGTTCCTCACCAGCAACGGAACAAAGTTGGAAGGAGAATGACTTTGACGAGCTGAGAGAAGAAGGCTTCAGACGATCAAATTACTCCGAGCTACGGGAGGACATTCAAACCAAAGGCAAAGAAGTTGAAAACTTTGAAAAAAATTTAGAAGAATGTATAACTAGGATAACCAATACAGAGAAGTGCTTAAAGGAGCTGATGGAGCTGAAAACCAAGGCTCGACAACTACGTGAAGAATGCAGAAGCCTCAGGAGCCGATGCGATCAACTGGAAGAAAATCAGCGATGGAAGATGAAATGAATGAAATGAAGCGAGAAGGGAAGTTTAGAGAAAAAAGAATAAAAAGAAATGAGCAAAGCCTCCAAGAAATATGGGACTATGTGAAAAGACCTAATCTACGTCTGATTGGTGTACCTGAAAGTGACGGGGAGAATGGAACCAAGTTGGAAAACACTCTGCAGGATATTACCCAGGAGAACTTCCCCAGTCTAGCAAGGTAGGCCAACTTTCAGATTCAGGAAATACAGAGAACGCCACAGAGATACTCCTCGAGAAGAGCAACTCCAAGACACGTAATTGTCAGAATCACCAAAGTTGAAATGAAGGAAAAAATGTTAAGGGCAGCCAGAGAGAAAGGTCGGGTTACCCTCAAAGGGAAGCCCATCAGACTAACAGCGGATCTCTCGGCAGAAACTCTACAAGCCAGAAGAGAGTGGGGGCCAATATTCAACATTCTTAAAGAAAAGAATTTTCAACCCAGAATTTCATATCCAGCCAAACTAAGCTTCATAAGCGAAGGAGAAATAAAATCCTTTACAGACAAGCAAATGCTGAGAGATTTTGTCACCACCAGACCTGCCCTAAAAGAGCTCCTGAAGGAAGCGCTAAACATGGAAAGGAACAACCGGTACCAGCCACTGCAAAATCATGCCAAAATGTAAAGACCATCGGGACTAGGAAGAAACTGCATCAACTAACGAGCAAAATAACCAGCTAACATCATAATGACAGGATCAAATTCACACATAACAATATTAACTTTAAATGTAAATGGACTAAATGCTCCAATTAAAAGACACAGACTGGCAAACTGGATAAAGAGTCAAGACCCATCAGTGTGCTGTATTCAGGAAACCCATCTCACATGCAGAGACATACATAGGCTCAAAATAAAAGGATGGAGGAAGATCTATCAAGCAAATGGAAAACAAAAAAAGGCAGGGGCTGCAATCTTAGTCTCTGATAAAACAGACTTTAAACCAACAAAGATCAAAAGAGACAAAGAAGGCCATTACATAATGGTAAAGGGATCAATTCAACAAGAAGAGCTAACTATCCTAAATATATATGCACCCAATACAGGAGCACCCAGATTCATAAAGCAAGTCCTGAGTGACCTACAAAGAGACTTAGACACCCACACATTAATAATGGGAGACTTTAACACCCCACTGTCAACATTAGACAGATCAATGAGACAGAAAGTCAACAAGGATACCCAGGAATTGAACTCAGCTCTGCACCAAGCGGACCTAATAGACATCTACAGAACTCTCCACCCCAAATCAACAGAATATACATTTTTTTCAGCACCACACCACACCTATTCCAAAATTGACCACATACTTGGAAGTAAAGCTCTCCTCAGCAAATGTAAAAGAACAGAAATTATAACAAACTATATCTCAGACCATAGTGCAATCAAACTAGAACTCAGGATTAAGAATCTCACTCAAAACCTCTCAACTACATGGAAACTGAACAACCTGCTCCTGAATGACTACTGCGTACATAACGAAATGAAGGCAGAAATAAAGATGTTCTTTGAAACCAATGAGAACAAAGACACAACATACCAGAATCTCTGGGACGCATTCAAAGCAGTGTGTAGAGGGAAATTTATAGCACTAAATGCCCACAAGAGAAAGCAGGAAAGATCCAAAATTGACACCCTAACATCACAATTAAAAGAACTACAAAAGCAAGAGCAAACACATTCAACAGCTAGCAGAAGGCAAGAAATAACTAAAATCAGAGCAGAACTGAAGGAAATAGAGACACAAAAAACCCTTCAAAAAATTAATGAACCCAGGAGCTGGTTTTTTGAAAGGATCAACAAAATTGATAGACCACTAGCAAGACTAATAAAGAAAAAAAGAGAGAAGAATCAAATAGACACAATAAAAAATGATAAAGGGGATATCACCACCGATCCCACAGAAATACAAACTACCATCAGAGAATACTACAAACACCTCTACGCAAATAAACTAGAAAATCTAGAAGAAATGGATAAATTCCTCGACATATACACTCTCCCAAGACTAAACCAGGAAGAAGTTGAATCTCTGAATAGACCAATAACAGGATCTGAAATTGTGGCAATAATCAATAGCTTACCAACCAAAAAGAGTCCAGGACCAGATGGATTCATGCAGAATTCTACCAGAGGTACAAGGAGGAACTGGTACCATTCCTTCTGAAACTATTCCAATCAATAGAAAAAGAGGGAATCCTCCCTAACTCATTTTATGAGGCCAGCATCATCCTGATACCAAAGCCAGGCAGAGACACAACCAAAAAAGAGAATTTTAGACCAATACCCTTGATGAACATTGATGCAAAAATCCTCAATAAAATACTGGCAAACCGAATCCAGCAGCACATCAAAAAGCTTATCCACCATGATCAAGTGGGCTTCATCCCTGGGATGCAAGGCTGGTTCAATATACACAAATCAATAAATGTAATCCAGCATATAAACAGAGCCAAAGACAAAAACCACATGATTATCTCAATAGATGCAGAAAAGGCCTTTGACAAAATTCAACAACCCTTCATGCTAAAAACTCTCAATAAATTAGGTATTGATGGGACGTATTTCAAAATAATAAGAGCTATCTATGACAAACCCACAGCCAATATCATACTGAATGGGCAAAAACTGGAAGCATTCCCTTTGAAAACTGGCACAAGACAGGGATGCCCTCTCTCATCACTCCTATTCAACATAGTGTTGGAAGTTCTGGCCAGGGCAATTAGGCAGGAGAAGGAAATAAAGGGTATTCAATTAGGAAAAGAGGTAGTCAAATTGTCTCTGTTTGCAGATGACATGACTGTATATCTAGAAAACCCCATTGTCTCAGCCCAAAAGCTCCTTAAGCTGATAAGCAACTTCAGCAAAGTCTCAGGATACAAAATCAATGCACAAAAATCACAAGCATTCTTATACACCAACAACAGACAAACAGAGAGCCAAATCATGAGTGAACTCCCATTCACAATTGCTTCAAAGAGAATAAAATACCCAGGAATCCAACTTACAAGGGATGTGAAGGACCTCTTCAAGGAGAACTACAAACCACTGCTCAAGGAAATAAAAGAGGATACAAACAAATGGAAGAACATTCCATGCTCATGGGTAGGAAGAATCAATATCGTGAAAATGACCATACTGCCCAAGGTAATTTGCAGATTCAATGCCATCCCCATCAAGCTACCAATGCCTTTCTTCACAGAATTGGAAAAAACTACTTTAAAGTTCATATGGAACCAAAAAAGAGCCCGCATCGCCAAGTCAATCCTAAGCCAAAAGAACAAAGCTGGAGGCATCACACTACCTGACTTCAAACTATACTACAAGGCTACAGTAACCAAAACAGCATGGTACTGGTACCAAAACAGAGATATAAATCAATGGAACAGAACAGAGCCCTCAGAAATAACGCCGCATATCTACAACTATCTGATCTTTGACAAACCTGAGAAAAACAAGAAATGGGAAAAGGATTCCCTATTTAATAAATGGTGCTGGGAAAACTGGCTAGCCATATGTAGAAAGCTGAAACTGGATCCCTTCCTTACACCTTATACAAAAATCAATTCAAGATGGATTAAAGACTTAAACGTTAGACCTAAAACCATAAAAACCCTAGAAGAATACCTAGGCATTACCATTCAGGACATAGGCATGGGCAAGGACTTCATGTCTAAAACACCAAAAGCAATGGCAACAAAAGCCAAAATTGACAAATGGGATCTCAGTAAATTAAAGAGCTTCTGCACAGCAAAAGAAACTACCATCAGAGTGAACAGGCAACCTACAAAATGGGAGAAAATTTTCGCAACCTACTCATCTGACAAAGGGCTAATATCCAGAATCTACAATGAACTCAAACAAACTTACAAGAAAAAAACAAACAACCCCATCAAAAGGTGGGCGAAGGACATGAACAGACACTTCTCAAAAGAAGACATTTATGCAGCCAAAAAACACATGAAAAAATGCTCACCATCACTGGCCATCAGAGAAATGCAAATCAAAACCACAATGAGATACCATCTCACACCAGTTAGAATGGCGATCATTAAAAAGTCAGGAAACAACAGGTGCTGGAGAGGATGTGGAGAAATAGGAACACTTTTACACTGTTGGTGGGACTGTAAACTAGTTCAACCATTGTGGAAGTCAGTGTGGCGATTCCTCAGGGATCTAGAACTAGAAATACCATTTGACCCAGCCATCCCAATACTGGGTATATACCCAAAGGACTATAAATCATGCTGCTATAAAGGCACATGCACACGTATGTTTATTGCGGCATTATTCACAATAGCAAAGACTTGGAACCAACCCAAATGTCCAACAATGATAGACTGGATTAAGAAAATGTGGCACATATACACCATGGAATACTATGCAGCCATAAAAAATGATGAGTTCACGTCCTTTGTAGGGACATGGATGAAATTGGAAATCATCATTCTCAGTAAACTATCGCAAGAACAAAAAACCAAACACCGAAAATTCTCACTCATAGGTGGGAATTGAACAATGAGAACACATGGACACAGGAAGGGGAACATCACACTCTGGGGACTGTTGTGGGGTGGGAGGAGGGGGGAGGGATAGCATTGGGAGATATACCTAATGCTAGATGACGAGTTAGTGGGTGCAGCGCACCAGCATGGCACATGTATACATCTGTAACTAACCTGCACAATGTGCACATGTACCCTAAAACTTAAAGTATAATAAAAAAAAAAGAATTGAATAAAGATGTCAATAAGCTAAATTTCTACCAAATGATAAATGGTACAACTAATAGTAAATATGTAATAATAAATGCATATGCAGCCATATACATTAGGCAAACAGAATCATAGCAGAAATTTAACAATGATACAAATTTTGTGGGGCATTTTAATCATGTTGTTTTAATACTTTCAAAGTTATAAAATAATTAAGGGAATTTGCATAAATATATTAAGGATAAATAAATAATGGCAAAAACCACAATTACTGTTGCACAGTTTTGTCCAACCTAATAATATGGGCAAGCACCCTTGACTGGAAGTGGTACCCAGGAAGGGTATGGTAACATCACTCGACATTTATTGATTTAATAGAGGTTCACTGAATGTCTGTATAGAGTATGAAGGCAGCATTAGGCATGTCTATGGTCATTCAAAAAGATCACATGGAGCCGCAGACAGAGTACAGCATCAAACATTGTAAACCAACACCACATGTCATGCATTTAATGACGGAAACCAAGCTTATACTTATAGAATAAAAATCAGGTTGAGAGTGAAAGACATTTTACGTAACAAGGACAAAGAGAAAGAACGAGGCAGGGAGCCCCGCGGAATGACTCCGAGTGGACGACGCCCCCCATTCCTGCTGGTTCTGCCTCCTTCTGAGATCATATTCAGCCTCTGAACAATATGAGAGGATACTTAAAAATTCACCAAAATATTGAATCACTAAAAGTGATAAACTATAAAATTAAGAATTGAATTAAATATAAAAAATAAAAATATAGAGTAATAACACGAAATTGAGAAACTTATGATTTATCCAAAGCATTACAATATATTCATTGCTAAAGTCAATCATACTAAAAAAGAAATTCAGGTGTTATGTAAAATATTACTCAGCATCCAACAAAGAAGTCAGTCACAGAGCACATTTTATGAGCTGAATAATGGCCATTATCAAAAACCTAGCCTGGTAAAAAGAAAAGTCAAATAAATCGCACAAATTATGAGTCATTACAAATTATTATAAGACAGAAATGTATCATCTGGACAATTTTCTGCAAACACAATTCAAAGCAGCACTAGAATCTCTTGGCTTACTTTCCACAGGGACTCTTTCTTTCAGCATTACATTTCTTATTTTTTGAAGATTAAAAGTTACAAATTCAAGTAATTACTATTATTAAACTTCTTTCTAGAAATATTTCCAAGTGAATACCATGTACCTAATGTTCTAGAATCTCTCTAATGGTCTAGAATTTATGAACATGAATATATAATTATATTTATTAGTAATGGTGAAATCAGTGGTTCATATTGTAATCCTGGAAACAAAAAGGACACTGAGAAATCAGGATCATGACTGTCTCAAAAATTACATCACTTGACACTCAGCACTTGCTTTGCATTATTATTATTATTATTATTATTATTATTATTATTATTAATTTTAGATGGAATCTCGCTTTGTCACCCAGGCTGGAGTGCAGTGGTGCAATCTCGGCTCACTGCAATCTTAGCCTCCCAAGTTCAAGCAATTCCCCTGCCTCAGCCTCCTGAGTAGCTGGGACTACAGTCATGTGACCCACGCCTGGCTAATTTTTCTATTTTTAGTAGACATGGGGTTCCGCCATGTTGGCCAGGCTGGTCTCGAACTCCTGACCTCGTGAACCACCCTCCTCAGCCTCCCAAAGTGCTGGGATTACAGGCATGAGCCACCGCGCCCAGCCTTGCTTTGTATTGTTGTCACCATGACTTGGTACACAGCCTACCCTCTGTTATTTATCCTATAACTGACATTCTGTCATGCAAAAGATATAGATAATGAACAACATGTACTTACATTCAAGGTCTGACTTCTAAGTAGGTTTGATGGTCAGCCTCCTGAAAGAACACAGGAATAATGGAGAAATAAGTGTGAGCCCACTCTGTATTCACCTGTTTGGGACTCAGGGTTATAGAGGACCCCTCTAAGGTCATAGATGATCACAAAATGCTAGAATGGAGGCTTCATGAGAGAGCCTGCTCCTTTCTATGGGAAGAGTCACACACATCATCCAGGTGAGGCTTGACAGAACCGGCCTCTATCAGTGCAGGACTCACGTGCCTCCAGCCACTTCATCTCATGCTGAGCTTTCAGGTTCCTAGAGGGAGAGCAGAATGGAGAAACAGGTGTTCAGCCTCACTCTTGATCCCTATCAGCAACAGCCACTGCCTCCCCACCCCACCCGCCACCCCAGGGTTCGGCAGACGGTTCCTGATGCTGCTGTAATGAATGTCAGTTTGGGTTAAAACACCCCAGAAGCCACAGAGGGAGGGAATCCTTCTAACCATCATCCTCCAGCAGGCTCAGTGAAGTGGAACCACAGAACAATTCCATCTTCTGCCTCTTTGGTACCGTCCCCAAGCTATGTAAAATATAAACAAAATAGAACAAAGCTATTCATCTTTGATGGAGAAGATTTGCTCAAAGTTTAGAGGACCTGGTTTCTCAGCATCCAGAAAGCCGAAAATATTTACTATCTGCCCTTCCGTGAAATTTGCTGCCCCTATAAGAAAATCCCAGGTAAATGAATCCAAATAGCTTTATCTTCAGGAACTTCCTAGGCTATAAAAGGTTAAGGCAGAGTTTGAATGGAGAACTCAAAGCTAGCACATTTTTGTTAATCTTTGTGGTTTTGTCTATGGGAATTTAATTTATGTATTTTTGGATTATATGTTAGGTGGTCCTCTAGTCATAAAATTAAATGACTAAATTTTTTTTTCAAAGATCTTTAGAGAATGACTTTGTTCACTTTAGAGATTATCAAGGAAGCTTGCAATGTCTATTCTTTTGCTGACACCTCTTAAGACTGGTTGAGGCTGCAATAACAATGCTTTGCAAAACAGGAATTCGCCATTGCAAACATGTGATATGCACACTCCCAAATAGACATAAGGAAGCAGAGCCGATTTTTTATTGTGCTCCATGAAATGTCAGCAACTCCTGCTAACTTTTAGCACTATGTGAGAATGTGACTAGTGAGAAGAACTAACTAGATGAATCTGTGTTTATGGAAAATCACACATGAGAACAGTATGTGAGGTTTCCACATAATGCCACACATTGTTAGGTGAAGCTGCTTTAAGATCATTAAAAAACCAGTGTTGCATACTGACACAATGGAATAAAACTCTGCAGCAATGAGAACGAGCAGCCCACAGTGTAAACGATTATGCAGGTGCATCTCATGAAGGTGATGCTATGCTCAAGAGGCCAGACATAGACAAAGCGCATGTTGCATGACTCTAACTACATAAAGTACAGAAATGGGCAGAAAGCTCTTGGAAATTAAGATATGGCCACACACGGGGGTGGCTGTGACTGGAAGGGGCTTGAGGGGATTCCAGGGTCTTGATCTGGATGTTGGTTGCATGGTTGTCTTCAGTTCATACATTTCATCGAGCTCTACACTTTATGATGTATAAACTTTTCAGAATGCATATTATATTTTTAACCTTTAAAAACGTAAAAGAGGCCAGGCGCGGTGGCTCACGCCTGTAATCCCAGCACTTTGGGAGGCCGAGGCAGATGGATCATGAGGTCAGGAGTTTGAGACCAGCCTGGCCAACGTAGTGAAACCCCATCTCTACTAAAAATACAAAAATTAGCCAGGCGTGGTGGCAGGCGCCTGTAGTCCCAGCTACTCTGGAGGCTGAGGCAGAAGACTCGCTTGAACCTGGGAGGCAGAGGTTGCAGTGAGCCGAGATGGTGCCACTGCACTCCAGCTTGGGCAACAGAGCAAGACTCTGTCTCAAAAAAAAAAAAAGTAAAAGAAATTAGAACTGGATCCATCCAGGCTCTGTTGAGCATATGACAAATATAAAATCACAAGCGAGAACAAATATTTAGAAGCGATTTTACCCTTGCCACCTGAGCTGCGGGGAAATAACGCTGGATCCCCCTGAGTAACATGGAGCCAATGCAGGTGTGCCCTTACTGCCTGGCTCTGGGGAAAGCAGGGAAGGGTTTCAGCTCTGGTGGGACAAAATGACCACAAGGGAAGCCAGAAGAAAACCAGGCCTCTGGATGCCCCTGACCTTGCAGGTGAGGGTAAAGGTAGCATGCAAGTAAACATTCAAGGCTTAGTGTCTTCCTTGCCTCTTGCCCGGACTTTTCCGAGCCTATTTCAGTTATTGATGCCAGCTTCATGGACTGAGGAGCCATATTATTTCACGGCAATTGAGAGAGGAAGTATTCATGAAGATTATAAGCCTATGGATATTCCAGCTCTGATAGTCTCTCCACGAAGCAGAACATTCACCGTGCTAGTCGTCAGCAGTGACGAGACACCCCTGGATGTGGGTGTGTGGGCAGCCTTTCCAGGGGTAACCCGATGATGCAGCTCTGAGTGGTGTGTGCAGCGGTGGCTGACTCCAGACCAGGACTTATCCGCAAGGCTGCTGTTGTGCTCTTTTTTGGTGGTACCTGGAGATGGTCCCCAATGGAGAAGTTAGAGGTTCTCAAAAATCCCAGGAGGTAAAACCTTCTTTTCCAAGAAGAAATGGTAGGGAACACCTAAAGAGAGTTTCAGCGATGCATCTCAGTCTCAGTCCGCACAGCTCCAGGTTGCTGAGGAGGGCAGGAAAAATACATGAGTGGACATTAAAATAAAATGGAAGGAAATTCCAAGACTTCAAAATGGAGAGAAAGAAACTGAGCTTCTCTTTGGGATCTTGAATGACTTAAATAATGGCATCAATTGAAACTGTCTGTGCTGGATCACATAGTGTCCCACAAAAATCCAGGTACCACTGGAACCTCGGAATGTGACCTTATTTAGAAACAGGGTCTTTGCAGCTAAGTGAGTTCACACTGGACTATGATGGGCCCTAAATCCAATCCGACTGGTGTCCTTATAAAAAATTTAAAAAGTGGAAAACACATGTGAAGGCTGGCAGAGGTTGGGGGATGTGGCTGCAAGCAAGGAAAAGCATAGATTGCCGGGAGCCACCGGCAGCTATGAGACGAAGTCCTTCCCAAGACCCTTCAGAGCGAACACAGCCCTGCTGACCCTGCACTTTAGATCTCTGGTTCCAGAACCGCGACAGCATGGATTTCTGGGGTTTTAAACTCCCCAGGTTGTGGTGTTTGTCACAGCAGCCACAGGCAACTAGTGACCTTGTCTTTGGAGACTTGCATGACTGGACATGAGAAGAGGTGGTAGAAATGGCTGTTGTGTACTCAGGGAGCATCTCACAGCACTCAGAGCATTACATGAAGATATTGGCTCCCTAGGAAGAACAACAAACCAATATTTACAATTTTATTTTTATTTAGAGCTGCTAAGGCCATCAAATCCGGATAAGAAATTTATGTCTGGCTGGTGCAGTGACTCAGGCCTATAATCCCAGCACTTTGGGAGGCTGAGGTGAAAGGATTGCTTAAACCCAGAAGTTCCAGACCAGCTTGGGCAACATCGTGAGACCCTCATCTCTATAAAGAAATTTTTTGAAAGCCAAATGTCATGGCTCACACCTGTGGTCCCAACTACTCAGGAGGCTGAGGCACAAGGATTGCTTCAGCCCAGGAGGTCAAGGCTGCAGTGAGCTGAGATTTCACTACTATACTCCAGCCTGAGTGACAGAACAAGACACTGTATTTAAGAAAAAAAAAAAAAGTCTGATGCACCTGTGGTTAAACATTCTGAACTTAGGCAGTCTAATTGGAAAGCCACAAATCAATGACTCCTAGGCTTAGACTTCTTGTTGTGAGAAACAGACAGCCAAGAGTGTGGAACGTGCTCCTGGTGCACAGCCAACTACTGTCCCAGCTGAACCCACCTGGACTAAGGGACATCCTCCATTTTCAATCACTATGAAGAAAATATTTCTCATTGTGCAGTTGTTTTGTTAGATCATTCTGATGCCCCTCTCAGGTTAATGAAGCAGGTGAAAGATTCATCGGCCTGTTTTGAGCCTGCTGGGAATACTTACATCTGAAATAAATGTCAGCAGACTCAACTCAAATGTGGCATTTCTTGCCCGTGTTTACAATGCCTCTAATAGAGATATTCACTTTCTCCCTTGTTTTCTGGTGTTAGAGTTAGAACACCAAATGTTCATGCAGCTCTGCTTTGCAGAGATTCACAAACCTCAACCAAAATGGCCCATTAACTAAGGGAGAAACCCCAGGTCTACACAGCTCAGTGCTAGATGCTTGGGACAGGACCATCATACACCTGCTTCCACACCAACGGCAGGAATAAGGAAGTGAGTAACCCCAGACCTCCGAATACTCCAGGAAAGACCCCTCCTCTAGTTCCCCACCTCCCTCAGTGCTTCACCAGCACCACTTGCCTTGAGTCCCTCTGGAATAATTGTATTTTACTGTGTAGTCCTGTTGATAGAACTCTCCAAGAAGCTCGGGAGTCCCGATTCCTCATTCCCCAGACTCGCCTCCCCAAACCATCCAAGCACCTCCCTTTCTCATGCCTCTGCCCAACGTTCCTGGTTCCTAGGCCTGTCCGTTGTGTCCTCGGCAGACCACATCATCCACAGCAATATCCTACCTCATGACATTTCTCTCTAAACGCCCTGCACTTTCTTGCTATAAGTGAAGCAGGGTCTTCCCCAAGACAGCTGCTTCATTGCCTTCGCCAGGGGTGGATGCAGTAAGGGTCCTCACTGTCCCTCTCCCCCTACCCTGGTGCTCTCGAGCCGGTAGGAGGAGTAGAGGTCCTCATAGCCCCTTTTTCCACTTCTAGATGTTACAGCTTTTCTCTGTTCTGAAGACCCTCAAGGTTAACCGTCATACCCACCTCCCCCGCTTTCTCATGGTAATTGTCTGCTGCTCCCAGGCCAGGTCTCTGCCAATCCTAGAATGAGCTCCTGTCACTGCCACTCCCCACACCATTTCTGCCATAATCTGTGATTTTCACGTCAATGTACATGATCCTTCCAAAATCCTGGCATTTTTTATTTATTCTCTTTTGACAGCCTTTCCCCTAGGCTAACTCCACCACTGGTTCCCATGACGATGGAGTTGCTAAAAACTACATCCCAGTAAATACTCCACACCTCGGTGTGTCCAGTGCCCCGGCTTCCTTAGTGATTTGGTCCCCTGAGCCCCACAGTTTATCCTAAAACCTTTGCGCTGCCCCCTCCCTCCGCCATCCTCACTTCCCTCCATCCCCAGCTGACTTGCCATGGCCGTCATTCCCTCGCTCAGATGCTCAACTCCACCCATGGCCTTTTTACCTCCTTCCCGCTGTCCGGGCCCCAACTCTATTGCTCTACACGACTTTCGCATTGCTAAACAAATCAGGAGAAAAGCATGTCGCCTGGCTAAGTGAACTCACTTCAATCTCTGATCACCGATTTCAGATGTGCCCTCAGCATTGTATGGCAACACACGACACTCCATCACTCTTTCGTAGTGTGGCCTCCCCACCTCGGCGTTGTTGGCACTTTGTCCCAGGGGCCCTGCTGTGCGGGCTGCCCTGTGCGTTGTGGGATATTGAAACGCATCTCTGGCCTCTGCTCACCCAAGGCCAGTATCATTTTTTCTTCCCCAAGTTGTACAACCACAAATGTCTCCAGACACTGCCCAATGTCCCAAGGGGAGCAAAATCGCCCGCATTTGAAGACTATCTACTTCCAACACCTCTTTCCTCATTGTCACTCTCAGCTGGTTCCTGTAGCTGGTATTTTATTAAGAAAATTGACAAAACCCAGTCTCTACTAAAAGTACAAAAATTAGCTGGGCTTGGTGGCAGGCGTCTGTAATCCCAGCTACTCAGGAGGCTGAGGCAAGAGAATCGCTTGAACTTGGGAGGCGCAGTTGCAGGGAGCCAAGATTGCACCACTGCACTCCAGCCTGTGCAACAAGAGGGAGACTCTATCACAAAAAAAAAAAAAAAAAAAAAAGATTGGTTCATACACTCGAAAACATCTTCAATCTCCCACTGTCCAATTGACTCATCTGCAGCTGTTACCTTATTCTCGCTTTCTCTCTTTTCATTCTTTAGGACGCAGTCATGCACCCATTTAAATTCAACTCCCTCATGTGGGCGCTAGAACACAAGGACTTTCTTCCAGAAACTCTGCCTTCCCATGGGCCTCACCTGTTTTCCCTTTATCCTGGGTCGTGTGCATCAGCTTACAAATGTCGTTTAACTTTTTCCACCTTCTCAAAAATCCTTTTGATTCTATAACCCCTGCAGATGTCATCATTTTTTCTATGCTTTTCCTCAAGAAAAGTGTCACCCCTGAGAGTTTTCTAACCCACTTTCTCCAGTTCTCTTCCCTTGTCTTCGGAATTGCACTGCCTTCATGGAGTTTACAAGTCATCCTCTCAACCCAATGATACGTCCTGCTTATTGTTATCTCAGTGGCTTTTTCTGAGCCAATCACATCCTCCTGGAAACACTTTTCTATTTGGTTTCCGGGATGCAACAGTCTCCTTGATTTTCTCTTACCTCACTCGTTCCTGATTCTCAATTATTTTTGCTGGTTTTTCTTTATCTCTCCATATTGTAAAGTTTGCAGTGCCCCAGAGCATGTGTTCTGAATTTATCGTCTTCTCTCGATACCCTCACTCCTCTGTTGATAGCATGAGGTCCACGGCTCTGAATAGGTCTACAGCATGGTGCTCACAAAGGTGCGTCTCCTCCCCACAACACCCTCCTGGACTCCGGTCTCACACATCCGTGTATCTACTCAAAGTGTTTTATCTGCTGTCTAGCAGGCATCTCTACATAAACACTTGAAATCCAAATTTGCTTTTCCTCTCATTTTCCCCATATCAGTCAATGGCAGCTGCATCATCAGACCAGTCACCATAGCCTCATCGTTGAATCCTCTTTTCCTCATCTTCTGTATCCTATCTTTCATCAAATTTGTTAGCTCCTGCTTCAAAATGTGTAATTAATTAATATTCATTGTTATTGCTTGTCTCCAACTACTACAAGTGAGCTCCATGGAGGGCAGAGATGTTACTCATTTTGTTCACTGATGTATTGGCAACAGCAGATGTTTAATAAATACTTGCTACGTTAACAAATAGATGAATGAAAGCATAGTTGGCCTCCTAGGGGGTATTGCTGCTACTTGTTTTAAAACGGAAAAGCATCATCTTAAGCCCCACTCCTAGGAATGACTACAGGTGCGATGCTTCTCCTGTTCTGGGAAACAGGATAAAATTGTCAGTGTCCCAGAGAATAAAGATGAGACAGATGGTATGAAAAACTCATCAATCCATACGAATGGTACACAATCTTTATGTGTTTGTCTTTAATTTTTTTTAAAATATTTGCAGTCCCAGATTACCCATTGCCTAGAAGAAACAGTACTAATAAGATAAAAGTCTCATTCTAGGAGTAGAATGTTGATAATGCAACAATTCCTATAGATATTCTGAAGAACCATATGATGTATTGGAGAAAGTATATATGAATATGCCTTATGTCAAACACCCCCACTCTTGTGAGTATATCTCAGAATAAATCTTGCTCAATTTTATAAAAGGGATATCAAGACTTACTATAAAGCTGTAGTAATTTCAAAAGAGTGATAGTGGCGAGAATTTAGACAACACTGCCAGCAAAACAACAAATGAAAAAGTGACTGAAAAAGTAACCAAGTGTAGGAGAATATGTTTGCAATACACATTTCCAGAAAAGGATTTGTATCGTAAATACATGAGATACCCCTTAACTGAATGAGGAAAAATAGATAAATATGAGAAAAATGAATTTTTAAAAACTGAACTGACTTCAAAAAAGATGACAACAAATGGTCAATGAAATATTAAAAGGTGCACAGCTTTATCCATCTTCAAGGGCAGGAGAAGGGGAATGGTTAGCCAAAGGGCACCAAGTTTCTCTTAGACAAAGAGGAAAGAGGAATATGTTTTTGTAATCTATTGCACAGCGTGCTGACCATAGTTAATAAAAATGTATTGCATTTTACAAGATGGCTAAAGGGTAGCTTCTAAACACACTCATCACAAAAAATGATAAGTGAGGTGATAGGTATGTTAATTGGCTTGCTTTACTCTTTCTACAGTGGATACATATAACAAAACACATAGCGTATCCCATAAATATATATGATTATTATTTGTCAACCAGAATTTTTAAAAAGAAAATGTAAATTAAATCCATAAAGTGACACCACTATACACTCATAAGAATGGCCAAAATAAAAAAGTCAAAGAACTTCAAGTGTCGGCAGGCATATGGAGAAACTGGAATTCTCATGCACTGCTGGGAGAGTTTAAACTGATGCAAGTTCTTTGTAGAATTGTTTGCCTGCATATACTAAAGTTGAATATCTGAATGCCCTGTGGCCAACATTAGATGCTTAGGCACATAACCAGTGAAGATGCCTACATATGTTCACCAAAAGTCACATACAATAATGTTCACAATAGCACTCTTTTGTAGTAACTCAAAAAATAGAACTGGAACTACCTAAATGTCCATCACCAGTAGAATAAGTAAATTATAATTAGCACAAAGTAAAATACTACACAGCCTCATGCCTGTAATCCCAGCACTTTGGAGGGCCGGGGCGGGTGGATCACGAGGTCAGGAGTTCAAGACCAGCCTGGCCAAGAAGGTGAAATCCCATCTCTACTAAAACTACAAAAATTAGCCGGGCGTGTGGCGGGCGCCTGTAATTCCAGCTACTCAGGAGGCTGAGTCAGAGAATTGCTAGAAACTGGGAGGCGGAGGTTGCAGTGAGCCGAGACTGAGCAATTGCACTCCAGCCTGGGGAACAGAGCGAGGCTCCATATCAAAAAAAAAAAAAAAAAAGTACACAGCATTAGAAAAGAAGAAAGAAAACTACGGGTACATATAACAACACAGATTAAACTCACAGAAATAATGTTGCATGATGAAAAATCCAGACACAAAAGAGCAAGTAGTGTATGAATCCATTTCTATGAAATATGAAAACCTAATCAACGCAGTTTGGATAGGGTTACCCTTGCAGTGGGCCGATAACTAGAAAGACTGTCACCAGGACTTCTGTGTGGTGAAGAATGCTCTTTTCCCTTTTCTGGGTTCTGATTACACAGGCACGTTCTGTTAAAAAAAGAAATCATTGAATCATTGAGCTATAAACTTACAATATTTATGTTTTTGGCAATATATAATATTTCAGTAAAAAGTAAAAGTGAAATGTGTTTTAATTATCCATGCTCAGTTCTTGTACGTCACTGATATTTATTAAAATATGAAAATGCCGTGGAATCTAAACCTTTATTTCAAGATGACGCACGGAAGTTTCTGACCTAAAAGAAACAGTGTATGAACCAATGCAGAAACCAAGTGTAAGAACATTTTGAAACAGATTTTTTTCATCGCTCTCCAGTATAGTAGTTCTTCTCTGCCAGAGTTCTCTTTCTAAGACACTCAGTGCTCTCAAGATCAACTCATAAAAATGATTCGGTGGATAACGTTTTACCCAACATGTTTCTAAGTCACAGTAATAAGTTTCTCCTTTTCTGCAGGAGTGTCAGTAGTAAAGGAGTTTTTATACATTATTAGACAAAATATTAAAGATGCCCCCATGTCGGCGGCATGCCACATGCAGGCTTATTCTTCACGCATGTGCGTGTCCCCAGGGCCAGCTGCAACCTCTGCTCGGCAGGGTGGCCTGGGAGGCAGGACCCCCACCTCTGGAACAATGCCAGCCCTCAAGGTAACAGGTTACCCTTTCCTTGTTTTGAGAGGTGCCACCGGCAGCGCCTTCAGCTGGACTCTGCTGCTGTTAGACTGAACGTGCTGGTGTCACCGTAAGGTGGGGGCTGGGGCGGGCAGAAGGGGTGTATCCTTTTCTGATGAAGTCTCCATCTCTTAGGTCCTGATATGGTTTGGATATATGTCCCACCAAAATCTCATGTGAAATTGTGATCCCCAGTGCTGGAGGTGGGGCCTGGAGGGAGGCGTTTGGGTCACGAGGATGGATCCCTCATGGCTTGGTGCCGTCTTACCTGGTTGTTGTAGAGTGTGGCACCTCCCGGCCTCTCTTTCTTGCTCGGGGTCTCATCATGTGACTCGCTGGCTCCGCATTGCCTTCCACCATGACCAGAAGCTTCCTGAGAACTCCCTAGAAGCAGATCTGCCAGCACCAGGCTTCCTGTACGGCCTGCAGAACCATGAGCCAGTCGAATTTCTCTCCTTTATAAATCACCCAGTCTCAGGTATTTCTTTATAGCAATGCAACAAAGACCCAATACAGGGCCCCAGGGCTTGGGGTGTGGCCTTCACAATGTTCCCACCCCTCCCCCAGGGTCCCAGCCTCCCCACCCGCTGGCTTTCCTGTCTTCAGCCTCCTCGTTCTTTTCCCGAAAAGCCCCACCTCCAGCAAGGCCAGGGCAGGCTGAGTGGGGCCCTTTCTCCAGGAGGGTGCTGTTTCTGCGTGTCCTCTAGATGGGTGAGTCTCCCTTGGAGGGTAGGTCTGTGATACATAGAAGGGTATCTCTCCCCTCCCTCTCTCACAGTCATGAGGGGCTTTTTCCTGGGTCCTTGATGTGAGAACCTGGTGGGGTTTCTGCAAGGTGAGCCCCTGAATGTGAGCCCCAGGCCACCCATGGCGCAGCCCGGAGGAGCCATTTGCTCTCCGCTAATCCATTCTCCAGCCTGAGACCTTCGTCAAAGCCACAGCCCAGCATGAGGTCCTACCACGCACCATTCAGGGACTTCCACTCCAGGGAAGCAAACCTCTGGTGCCACATTTAGTTGGATCCTCCTGTTTCTTCAGATTTGGGGTGGCAGTTTGTTTTGCAAGCTCGGCTGTTTGATGGGTGTAAGGAAAGTCATTGATCTCAGTTTCCCACCTTCTCTTGTTGTCATGCAGGGAGTGTCTACCTCTGTGCCCTTTCTGCATCGGAGCTGCAACACGGGTTGAAAAGTTCGTTTGGTGGCCTAGAAATTTATTGATTCTGGTTTTGTGTCATATGCTTATCAGTTCTAACAGGCTTTATTTGGGTGGAATCTTTAAGTTCTTCTAAATATAAGATCACGTGGTCTGTAAACAAGGCTAATTTGACTTCTTCCTCTCCAATTTGGATACCCTTTATGTCTTTCTCTTGCCTAATTGCTCTGGCTAGACTTCCAGCATTATATGGAACAAAATCAGTAAAGATATAGATGACCCAAACTATCAGTCAATCAACTTGATGTAATTGACATTTATAGAATATGCCATCCTGCAACAGCAGAATATGCCATCGAGAATATCCATATAGACTCTGCCATCCAGAATATGCCATATAGAATATGCCATCCAGCAACAGCAGAATACACGTCCTTCCTATCCTCTCAAGTGTACAGGGAACATGCACCAAGACAGCTCACATTCTGATGCATAAAGTCCACCTTCACAAATAATCCGTTCCTCAGTTCACAGTGAGCACTCAAACAGAATGACTCTGACTCCTGTTTTAAGGAGCAGCAACTTCTTAGCTCCAACACCTCATCACATGTTACGAGGCCGCATTGCAAACCATCGCCATCTCTGCAATGCACACCCTATGCTCTAATGGACCTTTTAATTTTACTTGCATTATGAAAACTTGTGCAAAATGAGAATTGTGTGAATGTGGTAAGACTGTGGAAAAGAATTCCTAGTGCCCAATTCTTTGCAGAATTGCAGCAAGGGTTGCAGGTACTAACATCATCCCCTCTGTAGGATCTTCAAAACCTTGTTTTGGTCTCTAGAGAAATTGAAAAAAATAATTGTTCAGATACACATCTGAAAACAGAAAGCAACCACTTAAGAGATGATGCTCTAAGTCTCATGGTGGGAAGAAAAATGCAAGAGAATTAATTCAAATTCTCCAGGGCTCTATATACAGCATGATAATATCTCACATGTTTCTTAATGACTGAAAGGAAACAATATCACTGACTGTTCGCAGCACATAGTTGATTACAAGTGGTTTATAGTTCATGCGCGAAAGTAATGAAGAGATTATATAACAAAATCTCGCTGGAGAAAACACATTTACAGTCTTTGCCAACATTTGCTGCAGGCTGGGCCGTGAGGGCCTGAGAGGTCTGGGTGCAGGTGAGAGGCCAACGGCCAACTACCTGAGGGTAGGAGGGGCACCTTTTTCCCATTGCGAGAGTGGAATAGGGAAGAGCTATTTTTACTCATGAAAGATTCGTGTACTTCAGCCAATAAGCACAGATGTCATTACATCGATTTCAAATAATACATAATGCGCACTGAGTCTGAATTGTCCATGGATAAAGCATCAAGCCTGACCAGATATTGGGAGGGGGAAGCTGCATATGTGAGGTGTATTTTTTGTTTTGCTTTGTTTTGAGACAGAGTCTTACTCTGTCGCCCAGGCTGGAGTGCAGTGGCATGATCTCAGCTCACTGCAACTCCGCCTCCCGGGTTCAAGTGATTCTCCTGCCTCCGCCTCCTGAGTAGCTGGAATTGCAGGCACCTGCTCACCACTCCCAACTAATTTTTGCATTTTTAGTAGAGACGGGATTTCACCATCTTGGCCATGCTGGTCTTGAACTCCTGACCTCGTGATCCACCTGCCTCAGCTTCCCAAAGGTCTGCTATTACAGGCGTGAGCCACCGTGCCGGGCCTGTGTAAGGGATTTTACCTCTGCTTCCACCCGCCCCCCATTGCAGCTGCGCAGCACCAGAGCCAGCAACCATCCAGACGTTCATAAGAAATGGAAGGGGTGGGCCCCCTTAGAACTGCAGTTAAAATTCAAAAAAATAGGTTTAGCTCATGTCACACAGAATGTTCCCATTACTAATTTACTAGTTATGTTCTGATAACTAAATCATCTCCTCCAAAAAGCTTTAAAATCTGCCCATCTGTTTCCTAATCCTCAAATTCTAAAAATATACTAAAAAATGAAACATCTATAATTGAGACTGAATGTGACATTGTTTCTGTCGTGTACTATTTATACATCATAAGCTCTTGAAACTAAAGAGTTTCAAAAGTTTCATAACTCCTGCACTTGCCAGTTATGACCTTGACTTTAAATGTATATAAATTATATATTTATATATATTTTATATATATATTTTATATATATATTATATTTTTATATTATATATATTTTTTATACACACACACACACACACACACACACACACTCACAGGAGTAAATCCCACAGTCAGTGACCTGGACAGTCCTGCTTATACCTCTCATGCTGCCTCCTAGGCGGTGAGCACTCAGTGCTTGTGGGATGGGCGACCCTAGGTCACTAAGCAGGTGCCCTGGGCATCACTTTTCAGGTTACCTGCCCTCATTCCCAGCAGGGGTTCTGAACGCTGTGATTCCTGGACAGACCAAAGGGGTTCGTGAGCCCGTGAAGGTACCTGCAGTAATGTGTGTGTGTGTGTGTGTGTGAGTGCCTGTGAATGTGTGTGAACATGCATTGTACAAGTGTGTGTCTCCATGTATATGTGCGTGTGCCCATGTGTGCCTGTGGATACCTGTGTGTGTTATATGTATGTATGTGTCTGTGTGTATATGTAAATATGTGTGTGTCTGTGTATTTATGTGTTAGAGTGCCTGCAGATACATGTGAGTGTGTGTTGTAGGTATGTGTGTATCTCTGTGTATAGGGGTGTGTGTGTATGAGTGTGTGAGAGTGTATGTGTGTGAGTGCCTGTGGATACATGTGTATGTTGTATGTGTGTATCTGTGTATATCAGTGTGTCTGTGTGTGTGTGTGTCTGTGGATATGTGTGTGTGTTGTATGTATATATGTGTCTCTGCGTGTATATGTATATATGTGTGTGTCTGTGTGAGTGTATGTGTGTTAGAATGCGTGGGGATGTGTGTGTGTGTTGTTGGTATGTGTGTATCTCTGTGTGTATGTGCATGTTTGTGTGTGTCTCTGGGTATGTGTGTGTATCTGTGTGTGACAGTGTCTGTGGATACGTGTGAGTGTGTATTGTATGTATATATGTGTCTCTGTGTGTATTTGTATATATGTGTCTGTGTGTGTGTGTTAGAGTGCCTGTGGATGTGGATGTGTGATGTTGGTATGTGTGTATCTCTATATGTATGTTTGTGTCTCTGTGTGTGTGTGTGTGTGAGTGTGTATGAGTGCCTGTGGATGCATGAGTGTGCACTGGAGGTATGTGTGTATCTCTGTGTGTATGTGTGTGAGTGTATATGTTTGTGTGTGTGTGTCCATGTGGAGGCAGCAGAGGGAGCTTGTGCTTTTTTCCCAGGAGAGAGTCCTCAGCTGTCATCAGGGTCTCAGAATGGGTCTGTGCGCCAGCCCCTTCTAAATAAAACACAGGAATCATGGCAAAAGGAAGGCTGGCTGGTACTGTCAATTCTGAGTAAGATCACGCTTTCCACGTTTTATAAATCTGCCTCTGCCCAGACAGCCTATAATCAGGGATTGCACTGATTTTTTTCTTAAACCAGCTTGCTATTGTTGGCCTTGATTGTTATTGGCTCAAAGGCATTGCAGTTAGGTGGTTACCATGTGAAGCCTCACCAGAACTTGATGATGAGGAAAATGCCATCACCTTGTAAAGGTTAAATTATGAAATCAACACCTGAGAGAAAAGATGGACAAATAATCTTAAAACACAAGATGTCTCCCAAGACTGCCACAATTCACCCCAAGTTGATCCACTGCACACTAGGAAATGCTGCATTCATGCAGAAAGAGGCTGCCAGCACTGAGTCCTGGAGGGGGCGGCCAGAGGCTCACGGGGCCACGGACGTTAAAGTATAATATTTTCCAGAGCTGAGGAAGCCTAAGCTAGGATTTTTTTTTTAGTATTCCAATCCGTTTGATGAAGCCATTCTTACTGTGGCTAAGAACCCCAAGAATTTATCCCGTGAGTGTTAATATTCTAGAATCTAGAGCCTGCAAGGCCGAAAGCATTGTAACAGGTGATATCTATAGTGGCTGAACCCCAATTTAAGGAAATAGTGTGTTTTATACACAATGAAATATTAATTGGAGGAGGGGATTGCTATTTGCAAGAGCTACGACAGAACGACGATATTCTGAAAAAGAGGGGGAGATGCTGAGAGGTCCCAGAAAAGGGAAACAGAGTCAGAGAGATTTAGAAGTTTTGTGGAGCTGTCGACCACAAAGATGTAAGGTGTGGGGAAGAGCAAGTCCAGCTGGGGTTTGTACCAGTGAAAAGCTCTAGATGACGTCTCTGACTTTCCCACAACCTCTGTGGCAATGCTCAATAACGCATTTGTGCAAGCAACTTTTTATGTTAGAGAAAGACTTCACTTTAATATGTTGAAACGACTTCTCATCATGAGCAGAATGGCTTTCCACCCAGCCTCTGGGACAGTGAGTCTTCACTTTAGCATGTTGAAATGACTTCTCATGAGCAGAGTGGCTTTCCATTCAGACTGAAGGCAGTGAAAGACTGGTGGATGGTGTGGGCTTATTGCAAATTCGGCTTTACACATGAGTATCGCACTCTTGGTTAAGTTGTGTCTACCACTGAGAAATGGATACGCTCTCTCGCGTATTAACAAACTCAGAACCTAGACAAGGGTGAATTTAAGAAGAGAATGACCGTCACTCCAGCGGCCCTCTTGGAAGCCAGCCTAAAAGCTTTTCTGCAGGTAGCGATGCCCTGATTGCCATCAGCTGCACCTGCAGCTTCCTTAGGGTCTGCGTTGGTGCTCTCTCTGTGGAGAAGTGGGTGTACTCTAAAGAGGCCACTTAGTCCTGCCCAAGAAGCTCTCCTGTCCTGCTGAGGGTGGAGCTCCTGGTGATTTGCAGTCCACCCTGACACTTTGGGAGGCCAAGGTGGGCAGATTGCTTGAGTTCAGGAGTTAAAGGCCAGCCTGGGCAACATAGCAAGACCACATCTCTACACATTTTTTTTAATAGTCATGGTGTTGTGTGCCTATAGTCCCAGCTACTCTAGAGGCTGAGGTAGAAGGATCTCGAGTCCAGGAGTAAGAGGCTGCAGTGTGCTGTGATCACACCCTGAACTCCAGTCTGGGTGACAGAGTGAGACCCCGTCTCCAAAAACACAAAAATAAGAGAATACAATCACTCTGTCTTGACCTCCTTTGCCCTAACTTGAAGTTCTGAGGATCACACGGCTGAGATCACATAAACAACACCTTTACTACTGATTAACTGGAGATAATGTCTTGGAACAAGGCCTCTTTGTGACTCTGCAGCTCACAGGCAAAATGACTGTAGAAGCTTTTCTAGTCTGACTGGGCCCAGTTTATGAAGTGGTGATGTTAGTGCTTATGGCACAGGGTTTTGTGAAGCCTGGGTGTAGCTTTGCTATCTCCTTCTTCTACTGAACACACCTGAGAGACCCTCGCTTTATTCGTCTGATTTCCCTTGTCCCCATCCCACTCCCTACAGGGCAACCAAGTCATCCTATCAGTTGAAATCATTGTGCTTTTTATTTTTTTGCAGAAAAATCTGGTTTTCTCCTGATTCTCCTGCAAATTAGTGGAAGCCTGTGTCACAGATTAGACTCCATTCAAAGCTGACTTCAAGGTGAAGATCAGCATGTCAGGGCTTATTTACATGAAGGGAGCTCTCTTGGGATCAATTTTAGAGAGAAGGTAAAAGCCGGGCTGAGACACAGCCTCAAGAGGGACAATTCCCACCGACACGGGGAGCTGGGATGGTGTTGAGTTGTTCTGAATTAGGCTGAGGGGCTGGGCTTTTCACATGCTGTCGGGAGTGGAGGCTGCCCCAGGAAGGCCATGACCTTGGGGGCCAGGCAGCTCTCCACAGCAGGGACATGGGAGGCACCTGACGGCTGAGGACCGTGGGGAATGCATCCTCTGTCCTGGAGGGGAAACTGCTGCCCACCCCCAGTGCCCACCAGAGCCTGTGCCACCAGCTGGCTGCTCTCACTGTATGAAATGTTTACTCTTATTAATATTATGTATTCACTCAGAAAAACAGCTCTTCCATGCCTGCTTTATCCCAGGACTTCTTGTAAAGATATAATCACAAAGAATGAATGACTCTTTCCTTCTGTGCCTGCCATATTTCACTTGGCACAATGTCCTCCAGGTCCATCCAAATACTGTCCTGTTGAACTTGCAGGAGCTACCAAAGACAGACTCAGGAAGCAGAGGGTAGAGTGGTGGGTGCCAAGGCTGGGGGACGAGGGGAACAGGGTTTGTTCATGGGGTGAAATGTTTCAGGTATGTGTGATGATAAGCTCCAGGGATCTGCAGTGCAGCATAGTGCCTGTAGTTGATGTTGTATGCACTTAGTTTTTGAGATCTCATCTCGTGTTCTTATTGTAGTGGTGTATGTATGACATTGTATGCTTGTCAAAGCTCATAGAACTGCACGACACAGAGCCCTAATGTACACTATGGACTTTAGTTAATAATAATGCATCAATAATGGTTCATCGGTGGTAATCAATGTACACACCAATGTAAGACGATAATAGGAGAGATTGTGGGAGGAAGGAGAGACAGCACACGGGAACTCTCTGTACTGTGTGTACCATTTTCCTGTAAACCTAAAATGTCTCTAAGAATTAAAACTTATTAGAACATTTTTAAATGTGAGGCTAAAGGGAAAAAAGGCAAAATTTTTGAGCTTGCATTTTATTTTTTTCCTGTAAACCTAAAACTGCTCTAAAAATTAAAACTTATTAAATTTTTGAGCTTGCATTTTAGGTTCTGGCTTGGCTGTCTGACTTCCATTTTGTTGTCTCCTGTCTAAATCAGGCCATAGTGAGGGAAGCAGGTTGGGAGGTGGGAACGAGAGAAATAAATTTTGTTTGGGGCACATTAAGTTTAGTTTCTGTTACACTATGCAAAAGCCAACTGCAATAATGGTTTAATTACCATTTGCCTCTCCCACTTCCAGCAATTTTCTTGGAACAAGGCGCTGGTGACTCAGCAAAATGACAGATTATAGAAGAACCACAATATTTTATTATATTGAAAGATCCAATAAATGCTGAGCAAAGTTAATCTATTTCTCACATAAATTATGAATTATAATGCACCAGATTTCATGCCACCCTGTATAACTAAGTTAGATAACTCACAAAAGCCCCTGGATATTTTAAAAATCATTTCTACCGGACCAGCATTCAGAATTGTCCTAGGGTCACAGGATTATTATGTGAACATTATCTTTGGCCTGGCAATGTGAATAGCCAGATTTATGGGTTAATCCTTGCAGAGTTTTAAATTTTCACCAAATAATTGAATGAGGCCAAACCATTCCCAAAATTGAATTGGCTTATTTCATAGAATATTTAAACATGAAATGCCTGTAAAAGAGGAAAAGTGTCTTTCTTTTAAGACACTTTCCCCATGCTATTCCCCATGGATGGCACAGTTGTCTCCAGCAATTTTTTTTTTAATTTGTTTCTGTCTCTATTTTAGACATGCATAGAAATGCACTATCTAGTTAGTACAGGTACAGATTAAAAGAGGTATTGACTCTTCTGGCCAGGAATATTGTTTAGGTGATTTATGATATGTCTGAGTATTATAGAACTCCACAAAGACTCAATGCACCCTACATGACAAACCTGTCTCTCTGTTTCTGATACTACAGCTCACTGTTCATTTGGGTTAACTTTAGTTGCAGACATCCTAAGGCAATTGGTCTCCAAATGCAATTGCTTCTTGGAATTTTTTTTTTCAGTGCATATCAAAATCTAATAAACTAGAACATTTTATGAGATAAGACTTTGCTTGGATATGAGTAATTAAAACTCGATTATCTATGAGTTGCAACTTTTCTTCTATTGCTCTCCTTTGCCAGTTCATGATGGTTCTGATCTGGAATTTTGTCTTTCCAAAGATTCCACTGGTGATGTAAGGAGGCAGTTCTTGAAACAGTGACCATCCTGCCATCCTGGAGGCTGCTTTTCTCCCCAGCCCCTGGCTTTGGAGTTCCTTTTTGAGATCTCATAAAACACTGGCCTAAATGCATCTTCTGCCTTGATCAGTAGTCAAGAGGTTGGCCTATTCAGTGGGTTGAAGGATGGGAAGTGTACTGAGTTTTGCATCTGGGGGTCTTGCTCTGCTTAGTTAACCAAGCAGATTCCCCAGGAGCAACTTCTCCCCTTTAGTCTGATCCTCCTCAAAGAGGTGTCTTAAACACTGTCTGATACTCAGCCAGTTTATTTGGCATGTTCTTACAAGAGGGAGAGTGAGAACAGGCTGTGGCGTGAGCCAGGCACAGTCAGGGGTCAGACAACCACTGAGCAGGAGGCTCTTGGCTCCAAGACCATTCTCAGAGCTTGAGGGATTCATATCTTTATCTCACCTGTTTTCCATCTGTACCAGTTACCAGGTGTTTCTTTCATAAAGGGAGTTTAAGATTGTTTTGTAAGGATAAGCTTTGCTTTATGGTTTATGGAAGTTGTATCTGTGCTGCAGTGATCTTGTTTCCAGGGCAACCAGGTTTTTTTGGGGGGGTTGTTTGTCTGTTTGAGACAAAGTCTCACTCTGTCGCCCAGCCTGGATTGCAGTGGTGCAATCTCAGCTCACTGCAACCTCCACCTCCCAGGTTCAAGGGATTCTCGTGCCTCAGCCTCTTAAGTGGCTGAGATTACAGGCACCCACCACCATACCCAGTTAATTTTTGTATTTTTAGTAGAGACAGCATTTTGCTGTATTAACCAGGCTGGTCTCAAACTCCTGACCTCAAGCAATTCACCTGTCTCAGCCTCCCAAAGTGCTGAGATTACAGGCGCGAGCCACCGCACCCAGCTGCAACCAGGGTTTAAAGCCTTGTTTTCACAGAGACCTAACAATTCTTGGGCCAGGTTGCTCTGGGACCTGTCCTGCGGGGTCTCTGGGAAGTCTCCAGCTCTGGTTGTCATGGAGACAGGGAAAGTCCCCTGGCCTTATCATTATCTACTATTGAGTGGCACATAATGTTGGCCTTGCTTGCCTTGTAAGAGTCTTCATTAGGCCTTTTGTCTATCATTTATTTTATAGCCAAGAAATATCACTTATAGTATGCAATAAAGTTAAAAAGATATGTTCACATCCTAACTCCCAAAACCTACGAATGTAACTTTACTTGGGAAAAAAGTCTTTGCTGATATAATTAAATTAAATATCTCAAAATGAGATTATCTTGGATTACCTAAAGTTTGGTTGCAATTGTCCTTATAAGAGACACACATGGAGAAGAGGAGAAGGCCGTGTGAACTCCGAGACAGAGACTGGAGCGATGCAGACACAGCCACAGAAAGTCAGAAGCCACCAGAAGTGGCAAGACGCAGGAAGCTCCTCCCCTGGAGCCCTCAAAGGGAGCACGACCCTGACCATGCCTGGAAGTCAGACTTCTAGTTCTGAAACTGTAAGACAGTCAATTTAAATTTAGATGTGTGAAGCCACCCAGCTCAAAGTAATGCATAACAGCAGCCCTGGTAAAACTAACATGCCCTGAAACCATGTGCTACCATAACCACACCTCAGGCCAACATGCAGAGAAAAAAAGAACATCCATCAGTAGATGTGAGTTCTAGATAGATGATACATACATATATATATATATATATATATATATATATATATATAGAGAGAGAGAGAGAGAGAGAGAGAGAGAGAGAGAGAGAGAGATGAGGTCTGTGTTACCCAGATTGGTCCTAAACTCCCGAGCTCAAGTGATCCTCCCACCTCGTCCTCCCAAAGTGTTAGGATTACAGGCATGAGCCAGTGTGCCTGGCCAGATAGAAGAATTCATAATTTTATAAATTGTTGTCACTGCCCCACCTACGGGAATAGAATTCTTAGCAAAGTCTAAAAGACAAAAAGACAACTCTACAAAATGCTCCTCTTCATGCTGATTCAACCCCTCATGATAACTCATCTCATTCTTATCTTGACCACAATCCACTCATCTCCCACTCTTTTTTTAACATGTGTGTGAAGTCCCTGAATATTAATTACTATATAATGTCCTTCTCGTGTTTATAGATTTTCCATAGAACTTACCTTCCATTGGTTATAAGTATACAAAGACCAACTGAATACTTCATTAGGGACTTTGTCCTACTTAGAGGCAGGCGCTTTTGCCCCTTGCAGAAAGCTGACAATTTAATCTCCATTGTGCACGTATGACCACAATAACAGAGTGACCTGTATGGGTTCTGCGTATTCCTGGCCTGCTGCCGTGCTCCTTGCCTGAGGAACAGGAACGCATTGTGTCTCCACTGACAGTTACGCTATCCCTTTCATGTGTACTGTGCTAACTTCTGAGGGGCTGAGTACTCAGGGGAAGAAATAATACCAGTAATAGTTGTATATTTACTGACTTACTTAAAGCTTATTAGACAAGCATATTTATAATGCTACAATTTCCAAAATGTGTAATTTTTATTACAAGAGTTTGTTGTTCTTAACAACTCATAGGAGACAAACTGCACACTCTCTTTTGTCTATTTCCTTCATCCCCAGTTTGACTCTGTGAGTTGATAATGAGTCAGTGTCTTGATGCAATCAGAATCCTGTTTACCAAAATACCCACGGGACACACCCGACTCCCGCCAAGACAAGTAACATCAACTTGCTTCCTTTACAAAGTGAGGAAATAGCGCATTGTCTCAGAAGTAATAGTAACAGGATGAATGTCGATAACACTTCTAGGGGATGGGAAAATATGTAATTATCCAGGGTGTGATTGTTTATAATCATGGGCATGCCAATTGTAGACAATATATAAAGCGATTATAGAAATTGTATTATAATGATAAATCAATAAGCATTTAAAGTATAATTCTAAAGATGGTCAGTATTTGATAAATTCATAAATGTAAATGCTTATGCAAGAAAAAATAAATTATTTAAAGAGTGCTAACCCTTGAGATATGTTACACAATCTTCAGTGTTATTATGGAATTTTAAATCGCCTATGGTGTCAAGTCAGTAAGATAAGCAGCTGATTTCCCATCGGAAACCATGAAGGCCAGAAGACAGTAGGAAGCATCTTCAAAGTGCTAAAAGAAAGATGGCCAACTAAGAATACCATATGATGCAAAGCTGACCTCAAAAATTAACGTGAGTTTAAGACATTTCAAGACCAAACCAATGAAGAACCTGCTTTATAAGAAACACAAAAGACAGTCCTTTAGGCTGAGATGAACAGACAGCACATCTCCAATCCACATGAGGGAACAAAGAGTGCCCATAAAGATAATTACACAGCTAAAAATCAAAGACAATAAAATATTTTTTCTTGATAACTTTTTTCTCCTATTTCATTCAAAAACCAACTTCATAAGGCAAAAATTACAAATCTGTGTTACTAGGTGTATAAGGCATAAAGATGTAATTAATGTGAAAATAATAGCAAGAGGGAGGGGGGGAAGCAGAGCTATAAAGGAGCAATGTTTTTCTGTGAGTTGGAGTTAATTTTATGTTACTCCAAACTAGATTGTTACAGTAAAGATGCTCATTATAATACTCAGGGCAACCCCTAAAACTACACACACACACACACACACACACACACACACACACACATACACACACACATATGCACGTGTATGTATATGTGTATATATTTGACACATATGTATATATATAACAAGGAAATTAAAATGACATACTATAAATTATTTCATGCAAAAGAAGACAGTAATAGAATTGAACACAATATGTAAGACATACAGAAAACAGCAAAATGGCAAATTAAAACCCAATAAATAATAGCATTAAATGTAAATCGATCAAACAATCCAATTAAAAAAACAGCCCAAATGAATTTTTTAAAAGCATAATAAAACTAGGTTTTCTGTAAGAGACATAGTTTTTATTCAAAGACAAAAAGGTATTGAAAGTAAAAGAACTGAAGAAGATATCTCATGCAAAGACACCCCCACACCCCACAAAAAAGAACTAGAAGGGCATCCTAATTTGTGAAAAAATAGGCTTTAAGACAAAAAATATTTTACTAGAAAAAGTGAAAGACATTTTATAATAAAGGATCAGTACATTCAGAATAAATAACAATTATAAACATGTATGCATCCAACAAGAAAGTCTCAAATACATGAAGAATGGAAAGAATTGAAGCAATAAAGAAACAATATGATAATAATAGTTGGATAAGTAATTACTCAACTTTCAAATCAATAAACAGAATATGAACAAGAAAATACAAGACTTGAAAAATACTGTAAATCAGCCAAAACCAATGAATTCCTACAGAATCTTCACCCAACGAAAGCAGAGTATGGATTCCTCTCAAGTGCACATGGAGGATTCTCCAGAACAGGCCATATATTAAGTCACAACACGTGTCTCAATTGATTTAAGAGGATGGAAATTATTCAAAGTATGTTCTCCAACAACAAAGAAATTACATTAAAAATAAATTAAAAGGAAACACGGGCAGTCTTTAAAGGTAGAAATTAGCACACTACAAGAATAAATAATGAGTCAAGGAAATCACAAGTGAAATTAGAAAATACTTTGAGAAGAATAAAAAAGAAAATACAACATAGAAAAATTGACACGATGCAATTAAACTAGTGTGTAGAGGGAGATTCATGGCCATAAACATTTCTAAGAAAAGTAAGAAAGAACTGGCACCAATAACCTAACCATTCTTCTAAAAAAAATAGAAGAACATAGCAATTTACATCCCCTGTAGGAAGAAAAGGGGAAATAATAAAGATCAGGGCAGAAATAAATAGAGAATAAAAAGTCAACAAATTATATAACCTAAATGGACAAATTCCTAGAAAGATGCAAGCTACTAAAAGTGGCTCAAAAATCAGCAAGCTGAATAAATGCATAATAAGCAGACATAGAATCCATAATCAAAAAACTTTACACAAAGGAAAAACCAGAACCAGATGATCTAACAGATGAATCCTTCCAAACTTAAAAGACATATTAGTATCAACTTATCGCAAACACTTCTACAGATAAAGAAGGTAAATCTTCCTAACTCATTCTATAAGAATGGAATTACCCCGACAACAGAGCCAGAGACATCAGAGAAGAATAAAAATATAGAACAACATCCTTTAAAGATATAAATGCAAAACGGCTCAAAAAAAATCAAGCAAACAAAATGTAACAGCATATAAAAAGAATCATACATCTTGACCAACTGAGATTTATCCTAGTAATGCAAGGTTGTTTCAACATACCAAACCCAATCTATGTAATACACCATATTAATAGAATAAAGGACAAAAGCCATGGATAATATAAGCCATGAGAAACGCAACATTTTCATGACAAAACACAAACACACACTAGAGCACATAAATGAGTTCAGTAAGATTGCTGCACACAAGATCAATATACAAATTTTCATTTTAATTCCACATGGTAGCAATTCAAAAAATCCAAAAGTGAGTTAAGAAAACAACTTAATTTACAATAGCACCAAAGGAATAATATACCAAGGAATAAATTTAACCAAAAAAGAACAAGACGTGTACAACTGAAAAACTACAAAACATCATTGAAAGAAATTAAACAAAACCTAAATAAATAAAGACAATCTGTGTTCATACATTATAAGACTTGATAATGTTAAAACGGCAGTATGTTCCAATTTACCTTGAGATTCAGTGCAATTTCTATCTCATCCCAGTATCTTTTTCATAGAAATTGGCAAGTGGATCTGGCATTTAAGGAAATACCATGAACCAAGAATAGCCAAAACCATCTTGCAAATGAAGAACAAAGTTGAAGGACCCAATTTCAAAATTAACTACACAGCTGCAATCATCAGGGGTGTGTGGTGTGAGTGTTTAAGGAAAGTAAAATCTGTTGGATGATCTCAGTGGTGAGTGGAGATGAAACAGGATGGAACTGGTGGACTTGATGATAGATTAGGAGAATTTTCCAAATTTGGGCAAGAGAGAGAAAAAAACAGACTAAAAAAATAAAAAGGACAGAAACAGAACCTCAGGCACACATGAGGTCAAACATGCATATACCATTGTCTTATACAAAAAGGAGAGAGTAGGGCTGAAAGAATAGTCCCAGAAATTGCAGTTGTAAAAGTTCCAAATTTTTCAAAAGAAATAAACCTACAGATTCAAAACCCTGAGTGAAGCTCAACCTCATAAACCTAAAGAAATACATGCCAAGACAGATGTGATAGTCAAAATCCTGAAAAATAGAGCCAAAGAAAAAATTTTGAAAATAGCCAGAAAGAAAAGACATTAAATTATAGGAAAACATCAGTTCAAATGGCAGCGGGTTTCTCAACTGTTGCAGTAGAGGCCAGAAGGAAATGACACACATTTTAATGGCTGAAAGAAAGGAACTATCAACTGTGGAGGCTATATCCAGTGAGACTATATTTCAAGAATGAAGGAAATTAAAGATATTCTCAGAAAAAGGAAAACTAAAAGAATGTGTCCCTAGTCAACAATGATAAAAGGATCAATATACCAGGAAGACGCACAATCCCTGAATGGAAATACAACAAAAGACAGAGCCTCAAAATGCATGAGGGGTAAACCGGATGGAGTTGAACAGTGATCAGCAAATCCACAGTTAGAGTTGAGGACGTTCTCACCGCCTTCTCAGTAACTGATAAAACTACTAGGCAAAAATTCAGCAAGCACACAGAAGATCTAAACAACATGATCAACCTACTGAATTAATTGGCATAAACACTGCAGCCAACATCAGGAGAACACACATTTATTTTCATGCGCCCATGAAGCATTCGCAAAGATAGATCATATCCTGGCATAGAAAAACAAACCCAAACAAAATTAAGAGAATTGAAATCTTACAGGGCATGTGCTCAAATCATAACGGAATCCAGCTAGAAATCACAAACCGAACAACAACAGGAAGTTCTCTAAATACTTGGAAATTAAACATGACACTTCTAAATAACTCATGGTCCAAAGAGGAAGTCTCGAAGGATATTTAACAAAAAAAAAGATAACTGGAAGAAGGTGAAAATACAACATGTCAACATATGTGCAATACTGCTGTGATGATGGTATATTTACAGCACTACATGGTTACGTTAGAAGAGACAGGTCACAAATTAACAACAATTCTACATCAAGAAGCTGGAAAATGATTACGATAAAATGAAACAGCATAAGGAAGAAATTAATACATATAAAATAAATGATATATATAATACAAATGTTACAGAGCAGAAATCAATAAAACTGAACAAAGGAAAATAGAGAAAACTTATGAAACAAAAACCTTGTTCATCAGAAAAATTTTTTTAAATGATAATACTGTAGCAAAATGATAAAAGTAAAAAGAAGAAATAACTGATCAACAATCAGAAGGTAACAAGGTATTACTACTGGTCCTACAGCCATTAAAAGCATATTCAGGGAATGCTATGATCAAATTCATGCTAATAAATTTAATGAGTTAGAGAAGATAAACCAATTTCTCAAAATGCATGGTACTCTTTTTTATGGCTACCATGACAATTATCAGAAACCTAGTAGCATAAAACAACAGAAGTTTATTATCTCACAGTTCTCAAAATCAGAAGTATGAAATGGGTCTCATGGGGGTAAAAGCAGGTTGTGAGGCCGGGTGCAGTGGTTCACGCCTGAAATCCCAGCTCTTTGAGAGGCCGGGGCAGGTGTATCACAAGGTCAGGAGACAGAGACCATCCTGGCCAACATGGTGAAACCCCGTCTCTACTAAAATACAAAAAATTAGCTGGGTGTGGTGGCGTGTGTCTGTAGTCCCAGCTTCTCAGGAGGCTGAGGCAGGAGAATCACTTGAACCTGGGAGGTGGAGGTTGCAGTGAGCCGAGATCACGCTACTGCACTCCAACCTGGGTGACAGAGTGAGACTCTGTCTCAAAAACAAAAAAAACAAAAAAACAAAAAAAACAGGTTGCAGGCTGTGCTGGTTTGTTCTGAAGGATCCTGGAGAGGATCCATTTTCTTACCTTTTTGGCCTTCTAGAGCAGCAGTCCCCACTCTTTTTGGCACCAGGGACCAGTTTTGTGGAAGACAATTTTTCCACAGACCAAGGGTAGGGCAGCATAAGGAAGAAAATGGTTTCAGGATGAGTCAAGTGCATTACATTTATTGTACACTTTATTTTATTATTATATTGCAATATATAATGAAATAATTATACATACTCACCATAATGTAGAATCAGTGGGAGGCCTGAGCTTGTTTTCCTGCAACTAGACGGTCCCATCTGGGGGTGATGGGAGACAGTGGCCAAACATCAGGCATTAGATTCTCATAAGGAGTTTGCAGCCTAGATCCCTCGCATGTGCAGTTCACAATAGGGGTCGCACTCCTGTGACAATCAAATGCCACCGCTGATCTGACAGGAGGCGGAGCTCAAGTGGTAATGTGAGTGATGGGGAGTAGCAGTAAACACAGATAAAGCTTCGCTCGCTCACCACTCACTCACCTCCTGCTGCGGTCCAGTTCCTAACGGGGTTGGGGACCCCTGCTTTAAAGGCTGTACTCATTCTCAGGCTGTGGCCCCTTCTTCTATCTCCAAAGCCAGCAACATTGAACTCGGGAGTTCCCTAGCTGCCATCTTTATTGGTTCTCTCCTGCCTTCCTCTTCCCCTTCTAAGGACTCTTTTGATGACATTGGGCCCATCTGGATAACACGGACAATCTCCTTATTTTAAGCTGGGGGTTATTAGCATCTGAATTTCACGTGTCATCTTCATTCCTCTTTGCCGTGTAACCTAAGTCATTCTGGGGATTATAATGTGGATATCCTTGAGATGCTGTAATTCTGTCTACCATGTCGCAAACCACCAAAACTCAACCAAGATTAAATAGATCATCTAAATAGCACCATAACCATTGAAGAAATTGAATTCGTAATTAATGAGCTCCCAAAAGGAAACCTCCAGGCTCAGATGGTTTCACTGAAAAATCTGACTGCACTTTTAAGAATTAACACCAATTTCACAAATCTCTTCCCGAAAATAGAAGAGAAAGAAACATTTTTATACTCATTTTATGAGGCCAGTATTAACGATACCAAAACCAAACACAGTATACACTGATCAAAACTGCAGACAAATACCTCTCATGAACTTCAGCAGTATCACTGTCAAATTATTAGCAAATTAATGAATAAAAAGAGTATAAAATGAACAAGTGCATGGCTAATTTAACATCAAAATTAATCAATGTAATTACCATATCAACAGTCTAAAGAAGAAAAAAATATGTGATCCTGATAATTGCTGCAGAAAAAGCATTTGACAAATCCAACATCCGTTAATGATAAAAACTTGCAGCAAACTAGGAACGCAGAAGAATTACATCAACAAAACCCCACAGCTGACGTTGTACCGAATGGTGAATGTTTTCCCCACTATCAGAAAATAAAGAGGCCGTCTGCTCTCTCCACGTGTTCAAAATAGTAGTGAGAGTTCTAACCAGACCAACAAGCCACAAAAGGAAATAAAAGGCATACACATAAGGAAGGAAGAAATAAAACTATTACAATTTGCAAATGACACGATTGTATATGGAGAAAAGAAATCTACAAAAAACAAGACCTTCTAAAACTAATATGTGTGTTTAGCAAGATCAGAGGATACAAGATAACACATTTACTCACATTTCTATATGCTAACAATGAACGTGTAGAAAACGAAGTTAAAAGCACAATGACATTTATACTCACTTCAAAAAAATGCAATAAACTAATAGCAAAATTGTTTTTGCACCAACTAATACTTAGGTAAATACTTCACAAAGCATATACGAGATCTACATGCAAAACCTACACAATACTAATGCTAGTAACTTCAGAGAAAGGAGTAATCCTGCCCTTGTTCAGATTTGACCAGAATGGCATGGCCTCCTAAACATTCTTACTGATTCATGATATCCAAAAACATATTGTATACCTCAGAGTACGAAGGGAAGAAACTTAACTTCACATGGGCATTTTTAATTTCCCCTGAATAAAGTTTTCTTTATATAGCAATTTGATTAATTTACTCATGTATGTATTCAATGAATATTTACTCATTGCTGATCCTACAATATATGCTATAGAAAAATGGCAAAGATGAATAAGAAGGCTTTCTTTCAACAAACTTTACAACTGAATAGCAGATGTAGATAATCACAAACCAACTATAAGAAAATCATCCTTTTCTAGGGATTTAATCGTACATTCAGAAAGTCGATCTGTATGTGAATAGATATACCAAGTTACATTAATATGAGCAGAAATGATGACTAGTATATGCTTGTAATCTATTTGGTTGTTTTTCCACCTAAACTACAATTGACAAATTTACTTTTACATAAATATCTGCACATATTTCACCACAATTGTCTTTAGTGACTGTTTTAGAACCCTGGCTTCCCATGTCCTAATAAAGAGATAAATTCTTTTTTTTCTTACTAAGCATTTTAACACCACCTACTTTAGACCAGGCTCAGTGGCTCATGCCTGTAATCCCAATACCAAGGTGAAGGCCAAGGCAGAAGGATCTCTCGAGCCCAGGAGTTCAAGGCCAGCCTGGGCAACATGGTGAAATGGCATCTCTACCAAAAATACAAAAATTAGCCAGGTGTGGTGGTGCACACCTATCATCCCAGCTACTGCAGAGGCTGAGGTGGGAGGGTGGTTTGAGCCCCAGAGGCAGAGGTTACTGTGTTGAGCTGAGATTCCACTGCTGTGCTCCAGCCTGGGGAACAGAGCCAGACTCTGTCTCAAAAGAAAAAAAAAAAAAAGAATACCTATTGTATATTCTAAGCATCAAAGACAGAAAACAAAACAAAACAGTAATTCCTTGCCTGTCTAGGAGCTTCTAGCCACATTGTCCTCTCCTTTCAGTTCCATTTACAAAATGTATAAAAATATTTTACTAATAAGTTTGCAATAATTTATTAGCATCCATTTTCACTGAGTATAATCCAATTACATTTAAATTAGTAAGCGACCTGCTTTGAGAATTTCTAGTCCTGATATTAATGATGATTTTGTGGAAAAACATAAAGAACTGAATAAACCTGGAAAAGTGATGAATACATAACTTAAGTCACAGCTTCGGTCCATGAAAAATCACATGCATATTGTGGGGCTGAAAAAATGTATCAGTTCTAAGTTTAGACAAGAAGAATGTGTTTTCTTTAATTAGAGGACTTTACAAAGGAGAAAAAGGTAACAGAAACTGCTCAGATGAAAAAAAATGTAAGAGTACTTAGTGAAACTGATGATACTCATTTCCATGCTAAAATATTCCAACATTACAACTGTAATTAAAGCACACTGTGGATAATTATTTAACATCCCCCCCTTTCATACTGTGAGCTTAATAAATGCATGGATCTTATCTCTCATTTCCTTCCCCATCCCCAGAAGGCAGCCCGATGGCAGGTGCGGGCCACGCACTCAGGAAGAAATGAAGAGCACGAGCTCTGCGTAAAAGTGAAGTGGGGTGCTGTGGGTGAGATGGCCTCCAGCCCACCTGGGAGGAGCTTCCACAGCTTCTCAGCAATATCCTGGCACAGGCTCTGCCCCACCCGTGAAACTACAGCTCTTTCCAGCACTTGGGAATTGACACCTGTGTGTTCACTTGTTTAGTGAGTACATGTCCAGCTCCAAACCTGTGCCAGACAGCACTTGCCAAGGTGCTCACACCCAATGGGCTAGAGCCCTTGCTGCCCTCCTGAAAAAATGCGGACACGGTGCCCAGTGAGGATCCTCCTGTCCCATTGTAATCTGGGGAGAAGTACTCACAAGCTCTCTGCTAGTGAACTTCCTGGCGTCTCCATTCAGTTAGACCCAGACAGGCATACACAATCGTTCATGCTGGACTTCAGAGATGTAAGGAAGCGCCTTAAATCTAAGCAGACCTCATGCCTACACTTCTGTCTGTGAATACTGACCATATCCTTCTATTGATCCCAACTTTCTCATCCCAAGTTCTCAGTATCAAGACACATCCCCATTATACCTCCTGGAATCATCATTAGATTCTAAACAAACTTCACTTTATCCTCTAATTTTTGCAGAAAAGCCTCTCCATCCCCTTTGCCTTCACTGAAATCTGATACTTCACTGTGGGTATTGATTCCTCACAACCCCTGGAGATGGGAGCTTCTAGCCCTCCCACACCCTGGCCCCCAAGAGGAGTGAGACCCCAGGAAAGGGAGTGGAGTTGGCATTGCCCTGACCCCATCATCACTGCTCTCTTCTACTCTCCCTGTCTCCACTCACCCCTTCGGCCAGAGCATCCTCTAACCAGGGTCATCCTATCACCCCACCTCCCAGGCACTTGCCTCCCTTTGCTGAAGATCCTGTTCTGTATCCCAAACCTTGAGTGATCTGGGGTGTCTCGGCTATTCCTGGGGAGCGTCACTATCCCCAGACAACATTAAGTCTGAAGACCTTCAGCCCCGCCTGCTCTGCTGGATCACAGTGCCAAGCCCTGGACCATGTCATCATCTAGAAATACTTCTCAAAAGTTATCCTTGAATACCACTGTGTGTTTTCTACAACCCTTTCTGATCCTCATTCCTGATTGAGTCTCCAGTGCCATGAGCCTTCTGCCTTTTTCTATGTTATCCAACCATTACTTTCGTCACTCAGAACTTCTCTTAAATTGAAATAACCCCTTTTCTTTGTTGTGTGGTTGTTGTCGAGATGGAGTCTCACTCTGTCACCCAGGCTGGAGTGTCGTGGCACAGTCTGGGCTCACTGCAACCTCCACCTCCCGGGTGCAAGTGATTCTCCTGCCTCAGCCTCCTGAGTAACTGGGACTACAGGCATGTGCCACCATGCCTGGCTATTTTTATTTTATTTTATTTTATTTTATTTTATTTTATTTTATTTTATTTTATTTTATTTTATTTATTTATTGTAAACAGAGTCTTGCTCTATCACCCAGGCTGGAGTGCAGTGGCAGGATCTCGGCTTACTGCAACCTCCACCTCCTGGGTTCATGCAATTCTCCTGCTTCAGCCTCCCAAGTAGCTGGGATTACAGGCATGCACCGCTATGCCCAGCTAATTTTTGTATTTTTAGTAGAGACGAGACTTTGCCATGTTGGCCAGGCTGGTCCTGAACTTCTGACCTCAAGTGATCCACCCACCTTGGCCTCCAAAACAGGGGTTACAGGCATGAGCCACTGCACCCGGCCAATAACCCCATTTCTTCCACCTGATCTATTCAGGAAAAAAATGATCTGAAATTAATGCTATAATTTACCTTTCATATCTTCTGCAACTAGATATCTAGCAAAGAGAAGTTTTATACCTGCTCCAAAATGCTGTCAAAACACATATGTATGGAGAGCCCACAGTACTCCAGGTATGGGCGCTATGAAAATGGTGGTGGCAGAAGACATAAAACACAGAGTTTTGTGGGGAGGAGGACAGTGATAATGCACATAACCAGAAAATATCAACTCAACGATCAGAAGAAGGCAAAACATATCATAATACGTAGAAATCCAGGGGTTCCTACTGACACACACAGACATCATATTTGGAGATTCCTAGGATAGCTACTGAATTTTCTGAAAATCAGTAAATAAAGGGTAAGAGTTAAGCATTTGTGCTGCTTTTCTGCATAAAACAGAAAACTAAGTAGGTGGTGAGAGATCCTCATTGAGGAAACCCAACTAATATGTTCAGAAGAAATTGTACGTTAGGAAAATCACCACTTTGTAACCTCTGCAGACATCAAATATCTGGACAGTAATCATCGATGGATAAAATTCATCAGGTGGAGAGAAGGAGGCAAGATGGCAGAATAGAAGGCCCCCAGCCCCCATCTTCCACAGAAACACTGATTTAACCACCATCCCTGGGGAGGGAAAAAAGAATGCCACCATGAGAGCTTCGGGATTCAGGTAAGAGGTAGAGGCACCGGAAGTGGGAAAAACTTGATAAAGGATGAATCAGGAGGCAAATAAATCCATTGATCAATCTTAATATTACATGTCAATAAAATAATGGTAGAGGAAGTCTCTGAGTCCCTTGCACGGTAGGTGTATCCATACTGCACTGTAATTCTGCCAGCATTGCTCTGATCCAGTTCAACCCCAAGACCTATGAGGGTAACTTTTCTTTGGTTCTTGTTGAATTCGATTACATGAACAATCTCTAGAAGAGCAGAAGAGAATTCCTTAACTCTGGGAGCTGTATTAACCTGGAAAAGGGAGAATATCCTGGAGGCATGGGAATGCACTCAGACTGCATCGCAAGTCCTGTGAAATTACATCCTTCTAAGAACCTTTCCTCTCAGAGAGCATTCTTGCTTCAAATGAGCCCATTTGTGTCAGTACTGTGAGAAGCCACATCCCTGTCACCTTTCTCAGGCTCTGAGAGGTGCCGACTTAAGATGTCGTCTTAGCACAGCTTTTCAAACTATAAGAATAACTTTATGTCATGCTCAAGACAATCACAAAGAGAAAAGAATTTGATCTCCACACTCTCTTGCTGCCCCTCTCAAACAAGAGGAGAAATAAGGATTTCTCTTAGAGATAAGGACACTCTGTGTTCCATTCATCATGTGCTAGGGTGATTACTGAAGGCATTACGCTTCATGTGGGCGTTCAAGGTTGAAACCCAGATACTTTAATCACAAACCACTTCGGTCCACACTCCTGGCTCCCACAAATTATTTATCAGAAGACAGCTGCTTATTCTCTTAAACAATTCTGAGAAATCAGTTCTGTTGCCAGATGCAGTTGGCTAAAGCCCTCCCCCAAGCTTCCATTCCATAGACCTTGACAACACCTGCGTCAACCCACTCTAATAAGGAGAATCAGACCTACTAGACATTCCTGAGATCTCCCTCGCCTGGCAGCTCAGTACAGAAGGGATGTCATCAGGGTTCTAAATACTGATCTTATCACGGTGACATTTGCAACTGTCAGGAGACAAGAGACATGCCAATATGTCAGAGATCACAACACACAAATCTATGAACTAATGAAAGTTGCTCTTTTTTTTTCAGAGGAAAAGGGAACTAAGTATTCTGCATTTGTTTAGATTGCATTCCCACAGAGAGAAGACAACAAAACATCTGTAGGCAAAGGGCAACTCTATTTTATTCATCCATCATATTTGATGGCCAGGGTCTCCTAGGATTGGATGAGCCTCTAACATCCCTCCCTAATTCTCTCTTCCCATAGTCCCTATTCCAAGTGAAGTGACTTGAAGCTTTGGGGGTTGGAGATGTGAGAGAAAACCAGCACTCCCACTGGAAGCACTGGAGGAGGTGGAGAGGATGCTCCGTGGTCTTACTACAAGGCTGAGGATCTTAGGAGGACATTGCTGACCAAAATGAAATGAGGAAAATTTACTAGTCTAGGGGTTAGAACCCCCAAGTCTTTAACTAGGTTACTAAGACAGGTGAGCTCCCCCTTTAAAAGGAGCAGGGCAGAGGGAAGGATGAATGTGCTGAACCCTTGCTGTGTGCAGCACCCAAGCTCTGCTGTCCTGTGTATGTACCAGCCCGTGGGTCCTCACACCAACTCTACACGACAGTTACAGTCATTACCAGGATTTTACAAAGGACAGCAGTGAGGGTACAAATGGAAGCAGCTTGTCAAAGTCACGCTGCTGGTGGATAATGGAAACAGGACGCACACCTGGAACCTGGCTGCAGGTACCTGAACCACGCCGATGTCCTTTTTCCTCATTCAGTTCTCCTTAAAGGAAATGAATGTGGATGATGTGAATGTGGATCGATTGGGGCATAGATCCCAGTGTGGTTTCCTGATGTATGGGAGCATATTGTATAGCTTTTCTTTGCCTATAAGAATCATGCTTATGCATCCAAAGCAGGCAAAGCGCTCTGACCCCGACACTGACTTTGAGTCTTGAGATTTTTTTCATTCAAATGGAAAGCAGAAGGCAAGAAAGAAAGACTCAGAGGAGTGACTTGTGAATTAAGGGGAAAACTCATGCCATTGGCCGTTCACCAACCACCCTGGCCGTCTCACTCTTTGTATGTCCACCTTAGTTCACAATTGACTTTCCAGGGAGGACAGGCAAAGAATTCAAGTGGGAGAAACACTCTCCTATTATCACACCAACACACAGAAGGAGAGATTGCAAAAAAAAAAAAAAAAAGGAAAATCCCAACAGCATTTTTTTAAATAGGGTATTTCACAGGGAACTCCGAGTTTTTATGCCAAAAGTTCCATCCATAATGCACCATCGATAGCACACTGGCTCTTTACCCATCCTGTCTAGAGCTTCTCCATGAAGTCATTACAGGGGCCTTGAGCTATTCGCCCTGCAGTAGTCAGCAGCATCCATCAACCTTCTCTCCCACTGAGGAGATCAAAGATGCAGCATCCATCGACCTTCTCTCCCACTGGGGAGATCAAAGATTCAGCTCAGTGCCATAAATGCAATGGTTCTCAAAATCTGGTCCCAGAACCGGCATCACCTGAGAACTTGTTAGAAATACAAATTCTTGAGCTCCACCCCAGCCCTACTGAATCAGAACTTCTGGGGCTGGGGCCCCAGCAATCTGTTTTACCAAGCTCTCCAGGTGATCCTAAGCCACAGTAGGTGTCAGCACCAGGTTTAGACCAGTGGGCCTCAAGTGCTTATTACATCCACCTAGGAGAGTGTTCAAACTCCTAACACCCAGGCCACAGGGCATGCGATGAAGAAGTCCTATGATGAGATCCGAGCCTCAGGAATGTCTAAGGCTCCCGAACAGATTCCATTGTGCAGCCAGTCTTGAGAACAGCATTCTAGTGGATGCGCTTGTCAGGGAAACAGGCTTCACTTGTGCAGTGAGACTAGCAAAGGGGAACCGAAGCGCTACTTGGGTAACAAGCCCATTATTGTCAGCAAGGAGGTTCTGTGATCTTGGCAGGAATGGGATTTTTTGCAGAGGCCAGAGCAGTTGGGACCACTATGAGCCAAGTGTGTACTGTGTGTACGGAGTGTGTATTGTGTGTGTCAAGCATGCATTGTGTAAGCCAAGTGTGCACTGTATATGCCAGGCAGGTGCTGTGCATGCCAGGCAGGTGCTGTGTGTGCCAGGCAGGTGCTGTGTGTTCCAAGAGTGCACGGTGTGCTGAGTGTGCACTGTGTGAGCCAAGTGTGCACTGAGTGTGCCAAGCATGCGCTGTGTAAGCTATGAGTGAACTTCGTGTGCTGAGTGTGCACTGCGTGTGCCGGGCATGTGCTGTGTCCCAAGTGTACACTGTGTGTGCTAAGCATGCACTGTGTGTTACCAAGTGTTCATTGTATGTGCTGGGTGTGCACTGTTATAAGCTGAGCATGCACGGTCTGACCTAAGTACATGTAGAAATGGTTCTGCTGCCCAGAAGAAGGGATAGGACTATGAGTTCAACTTAGGCTGCACCCTGGGGTCCCCTGGGGAAGGTTTGTAACCACCGACATACGTGCTTTGGGAAGCCCGGGTATCCAGATTTTAAAAGCTCTGTGAGTGATGCTGGCATGTAGCAAAGGTTGACAACTTGGAATCATGGTTGGAAGCTCCCTTTGACAACCAACAGCTCCAGTGCATGGGGTGGGGACACACTAGCCCTTTACTTCCAGCAGCCAATGCCTCCCCATTTCTTTCTTTCTTTCTTTTGTTTGAGACAGGGTTTCCCTCTTGTCACCCAGGCTGGAGTGTAGTGGTGCAATCTCAGCTCACTGCAACCTCCACCTCCCAGGTTCAAGCAATTCTCCTGCCTCAGCCTCCTGAGCAGCTGGGATTACAGGCGCACGCCACCACGCCCAGCTAATTTTTGTATTTTTGGTAGAGATGGGTTTTCACCGTGTTGACCAGGCTGGTCTTGAACTCCTGACCTCAGGTGATCCACCCGCCTCGGCCTCCCAAAGTGCTGGGATTACAGGCGTGAGCCACCGCGCCTGGCCCAAATGCTTAAATTCATAAAGCTTCCATTCTCATTTTTTGTAGTATTATTTTATTTTTATAGAAGCTGCAATGTCTTTATTTTCATTATTCACAAAATATTAAGAAATAGTTTATATATTTTAGGTGTACAATATGATGTCTTGATACACACATTTTCGTCTGTAAATTTGGAGTAAGGATACCAACGTCATGAGGACTAAAAATAACATTTGTCTTCGCACAGAAGACAGAAATTCTACCTGTGTGGCGGTAAGATCTGGAGCTGGCACATTGGAGACTCCTTTCTGGGACTGAGGAGGCCGCTGCAGGAACCTGGAGCTGAGTGTGTGCATGGAGCACTCAGTGCATGCAGCAGGCAAGTTCCTGCCCAGAGAAGGGACCTGGACATGTGCAGCACACCAACGTGGCACATGTATACATATGTAACGATGCTAACTTCTTAACCTATTAATGTGATAATACATTCGCATATGTTAATTGGACTATTGATATGGAATGATCCACAGGCAGTCTGGCTAAAAGAAGATAACCAGGGCTGCTCAGGACGGCGGCAGGTCAGAAACACCTTGCAGGGCTGGTTGCCACAAACAGCCTGGCAGGTCCTCGGAACGCTAAACAGAAAACCACCGCACGACCCAGCAACGCCACTCTCAGGTGTGCACAGGACAAGTGAAGACTCGTCCACACAAAACTTCTACGGGGTTAGACTACACACAACAGAAAATTGTGAATAAAGTTGTAAAATAAAAACGTATTGTAAAATAAAATAAACATTGTAAACAAAAATTCACCGGAGTGTCGCCAGTTGATTGTTCTCTGTACCATGCCAATGGCACCTCAGAAGAGACCCCACGGTGTTTGTTCTTCGAGCGCTGCTGTGTTCCGGGCACCATTCCAAGCTCTAGGGAGTCCGCCGTGAAACGAAGCAAACAAGCGCCGTTACCGAGCAGCGCTTGCAGCCCAGGGAATGGGCTTCTGTGAATCTGCAAGTCCAAGGTTAATGGAAAGGGGGCAGCCAGTCTTGGAGCTACGGATCCTGACTGTGGCCGCCCCGCCCCACGTGAGTCTTCCTTGTGGTATGTATTAGACAAGACTCCAAAACCATGTTGAGCTGGGCTGTGTGCGAAGACAAATGTTATTTTTAGTCCTCATGACGTTGGTATCCTTACTCCAAATTTACAGATGAAAATGTGTGAATCAAGACATCATATTGTACACCTAAAATATATAAACTATTTCTTAATATTATGTGAATAATGAAAATAAAGACATTGCAGCTTCTATAAAAATAAAATAATACTACAAAAAATGAGAATGGAAGCTTTATGAATTTAAGCATTTGGGCCAGGCGCGGTGGCTCACGCCTGTAATCCCAGCACTTTGGGAGGCCGAGGCGGGTGGATCACCTGAGGTCAGGAGTTCAAGACCAGCCTGGTCAACACGGTGAAAACCCATCTCTACCAAAAATACAAAAATTAGCTGGGCGTGGTGGCGTGCGCCTGTAATCCCAGCTGCTCAGGAGGCTGAGGCAGGAGAATCGCTTGAACCTGGGAGGTGGAGGTTGCAGTGAGCTGAGATTGCGCCACTACACTCCAGCCTGGGTGACAAGAGGGAAACCCTGTCTCAAACAAAAGAAAGAAAGAAAGAATTTAAGCATTTTGTCAAGAATCCAAATGCTGGTAACTAGCATGGATTTGAAGGCTGACATTTTTTACTCTTAGCTGCAATATTTTACTGCCCACTAGCCCACTCCCAGTAGTACTATTATATGAGAGAATTTGCACTTAGAGGACACAGTGGGTTTCTCACTCGTGGCGCCGCAGACGTTGCTTCTGGACAATTGTGTGGTGCGGGGTGCCATTCTGATCATTGAGAGATGCTTGGCAGCATCCCCGTCTCCATCCATTACAGCCCGCAGAAGGGCCTTCCCACGCCACAATAGTCTGCGTGGCCTCTGGACCCTGCTGAAGTCCTCTACACGACAGTGACCCTTCGCCGAGAGACACTGCTGTGAGGCGATTCAGATAGGTGGTTGCACCTGTTTCCAGATTTTACTTATAGTATCTAAATACTGTAGGCATGTGGCTATTAGCAAGAGGATATTTGCATAATTAAATATTGTAGAATAATGGGAAGCATACATTTTAGATTAGTCGTATTTTTATTATTTTGCTTAGATTATATGTTTTTACTATGGGGCAAACTCTAAGGAGGCTGAATAAATTAGCTGGGCATAATTTGAGAAGAAAAATGTTAACAGTGGTTCATTTTTTAGCTTGATAGAGAATAACATTTCAAAATATCTTAAATGTAAGGATGTCCTAAGGAATTTTCAGAGACTTCTGGAGACAAAATCAAAAACAAGTTTTTCTTCTAGTGCCCTCTATTGCTAGCATTGCTCCTATAGAATTACGCACTTGCTCATAGCAATGAAAAACTCTGGAAAAATACATTTTAAAGATAACTGCTTGAAGACACTGGAGAGTTACAAAACACAGGGACAATGCGCAAAACGTTCCAGCCACGAAATGAGGATCCACTCTGCAAGCAGCGCCCACAGGACTCCACCTCCCTGTGTGGGGCTCCCGGCGAGGCAGAGCACAGCACCTGAAATCAGAAACCAGGGAGGGATTTGCTGGGAAGGGGACCAAGGAAACCTGCTGGGGCCGTGGAAATGTGCCGTGTATTGATTGGGGCGGTTGTTACATGTGTTTATACATTTGTCAAAACTTTTTTTAACTGCACTCTTAAAACCATCAGTGTTATGGTCTTTAAATTTTACCCCAATAAGGAAGCAAAAGTACATCAGTGCCTTATAAGAAACAGCAATATCTCTTACACAAGGAAGTCAGAGCGCCTTGAGGAGTTTAATGGCCCAGATGGGCGTGCGGCGGCCTTAGAAAGAGGCCTCGCAGGGCCTAGGCCAGAACTGTTTGTTCTCGTTTGCTGATTTTCACGGCTTTGTTGACATATAACTCACAGAGCAACAATGACCTCATTTAAAATGTACAATTCAATGGTTTTTGGTGCATTCACAGAAGTGTGTAACCATCAGCACAATTTTAGAAGATTTCCATCAAAAAGAAACCCGTTTTTTTAACTCACATTAAAACTTGGTTGTGTTGTAAATATCAATTTTCCTTCCTTCTTTCTTTTTCTCTGTATTTATTAGGTACTGCCTCTCAGCTCCCACTTGAGAGTCAGTAGGGGAAAAATATGATCTAAATGTCAAATGTGAATTATAGCTTAGAGCAAGCCAAAATTTAAATCAGTATTTCCAAACTGAAGGGTGTTACCCGTTAGTTGGTCATGACCCTTAGCTTAGTGGATTTTCATTATCATTTGTTTGAAAAAAAGAGAGAGAAAATGAGAATAGAATAGAAAATATCAGCATGTGCTACACATAATGTCAGCATTATCTGATGAAATATGTTTTAGGGATGTGTGTATGTTGGTTCTTACTGCAAAATCTGTTACCATGGAGTCAGTGAAAAAATAGAAAAGACAGGTATTTAAACCATCCCTTTGACTGTTTTTGGTCTTCTCTGGGTAAAAATGCCCCACCTCTGCCACCTTGTCCTGCCCCTCCCCTCAGATGCTGCAACTGCGGTGTGAGGTGGAGAGCGGGGCCATGAGCATGGGTCCTGGACTTGCTCGGGGTGTGAGGTGGGGAGCGGAACCGTGAGCATGGGTCCTGGACTTGGTCGGGGTGTGAGGTGGGGAGTAGGGCCGTGAGCGTGGGTCCTGGGCTTGGTCGGGGTTTGAGGTGGGGAGCGGAACCGTGAGTGTGGGTCCTGGGCTTGGCTGGGGTGTGAGGTGGGGAGAGGGGTCCTGAGTGTGGGTCCTGGGCTTGGTCGGGGTGTGAGGTGGGGAGCGGAACCGTGAGTGTGGGTCCTGGGCTTGGCTGGGGTATGAGGTGGAGAGTGGGGCCATGAGCATGGGTCCTGGACTTGGTTGGGGTGTGAGGTGGGGAGCGGAACCGTGAGCATGGGCCCTGGGCGTGGCTGAGGTGTGAGGTGGGGAGAGGGGTCCTGAGCGTGGGTCCTGGACTTGGTCGGGGTGTGAGGTGGGGAGCAGGGCCATGAGTGTGGGTCCTGGGCTTGGCTGGGGTGTGAGGTGGGGAGCGGGGCCATGAGCGTGGGTCCTAGACTTGGTTGGGGTATGAGGTGGGGAGCAGGGCCATGAGTGTGGGTCCTGGGCTTGGCTGGGGTGTGAGGTGGGGAGCGGGGCCATGAGTGTGGGTCCTGGGCTTGGCTGGGGTGTGAGGTGGGGAGCGGGGCCATGAGTGTGGGTCCTGGGCTTGGCTGGGGTGTGAGGTGGGGAGCTGAACTATGAGTGTGGGTCCTCCACTGTAGCAGAGATGTTCTGCAAGCAGAGGAGGAGAGAAAACAAAGTCAAGTGATCCAGCTCCCGGGCCTCCTGCGCCGCCTCCATCATAGCGAACAAGATCATTTCTAGTTTTTATCTGGTTTTCCCAGACTGACTTCTCTACTGGGAAAAAATCATTTTCATGGTAAATTAATGAATAAAAATAAATGTTGATTTTTTTTATAGAAAGAACTGTTACCCTTGTATACTCTGTTGATACATTCCCAAGAAAATGACGGCAATACCACAAACTGTGTCTCTGCATCTGTGCTTACTAAGATCGTGGGTTTAGCCTGAGAATGAACAGCAGGGACAGTATTGGCCTCTAACACACACTAAGCCTTGGACGCCTTGCTGGTTCTCAGGACAGCTGATGTGGATGCTGCGCATGGCATTATTGGGCCCAGACATCAGGAGCCTGACTGTTACTGTAATCCTGGGAGCCAGTGGAGCTCTGGCTTCTGCACAGCATACTTCACTTTTGAGTTTTCCCTTTTCCACTGAGTCCTTCTTAGCAATTTTTTGACTGCAGCAATCGGTTAGAAATTCGAGGGCCTCCTCTTGCTTCCTCTCCCTTAGAAAACCCCGAGATGGCAGTGTGGGCATGAGCTCTGGCAAACATGGTGTTAGGCATGCTGCTTTAGGTCATGACAACAAATATTCCACCTTTCCCAGGGCAACCTTTCCATCAATCCAAAGATGTCTTACTATTCAGGGAATTAAAGATACCTTCTACTTAATAAAACGTATGCTTTCTAGTAATGTGCTGTGCTTGCCTATGACACACCGCTGACCCCTGGAAGAACTCATTCCCACCCTTGAGAAGCAATCATCATCTCAGGAAGAGGTCCCAAAGTCCACTCGCCACGCCTCAGGCACTGAAGGAGTGCTTGACCTCACCACCATCCGACCAGCCCATCAGTGCCAAGAACCGAACCACACTTATGGGTCAAAAGGACCGGCCAGGAACCCAGCACCTTCTTCATGTCTTGTTAGTGCCTGGGTCTCACTCAGGGATCAGTGGTGCCTGCAGTAGTGGGGATGGTGAGCAGCTCCCTGAAGATGCAGGACTATGGTGGTCCAACCATCTCCCTAAGAAGCTCTGTTCTGAAAATCTGATTAACAAATGTCCAAATGCACTTTTAACATTATTATATTATAGGAATGATTCCATTCTGGAGTACAATTTCACCACCACGCTATACCTCAGGTACACGATGGGGTAAAAAGGATGCTGTTGGCAGGAACAGAAAACCAAACACACATGTTCTCATTCATAAATGGGAGCTGAACAATGAGAACACATGGACACAGGGAGAGGAACATCACATACTAGGGCCTGTCAGGGAGTGGGGGACTAGGGGAGGGATAGCATTAGGACAAATGCCTAATGTAGATGATGGGTTGATGGGTGAGCAAACCAGCATGGCACGTGTATACCTATGTAACAAACCTGCACATTCTGCACATGTATCCCAGAACTTAAAGTATAATTCAAAAAAAAAAAAAAGGATGTTGTTGGAAGGCCTAGAGACAGAACCATCATATAGTATTTTTTTTCTAGGACACAGTCAAAACTACACAACTCACTCTGGGACTGTTAGAACCCAACTCATTCATGGATCATGCACTGCCAGCAATTATCTAGAAATCATAAGTTGAAAAGTGCTTCAAATTTGGCCTAAATTATGTGCAGATAATTATTGTAATTAGAAAAGTAATGCAGCTCAGAAAACCTGCACATAGAAGTGTGATAAAATAATCTTAGTATTGAATGACAAGGACACACACATAGTTCAAACACAATTCTAGTTTCAGAAAGCCCTTGGGGAAAAGGAGAATATCATTAAGGTCTCCAGATTATTAATTAAGCCACCTGCTTTATTCTGATAGTAAGGCTTTCTTGTTTTTTATCCCATTAAGGTAAAATTTTCTTTTGAGGAAGGAAATTTAGGATAATAGTCATTTTACCTCTTTATGCCAAATTTATTGAACCTATGTGGCTGTTTTCCTTTAAACAATTGTATCATAACATTTTTGAGAAGTAATCTATTATTTACTTCCCAAATAACCACAAAGTGAGTTGACATTTTCATTAAAGGAAAAAGAGAAAATTATTATGTCTGTGACATTCATCTAATAAATACATTTTACTGACCTTTCATATGTTAAAGTCCATGACATTTTTAAAAATTTTTTGCTCATTTGGGAATCTCAGAAAAGAAAAGATAATGAGAAGGGAATTTTGAGCTCCAAGTTAAAAAAAAAAAGAAGAAGAAGAAACAACAACTTACTGGGAACTGGAGTGTCAATGGCCTAGGATCTAAAGCCTTTAAGTATCATAAAATCTCTGCATGCATACACTGATTTCGGAATCTTGACATACAGTTCTTTGTGCATTGCTAGTCTTGGCACTCACAATTTATTTAAATAGCATGTTATGGTCTAGAGGCTTGCTTCTGCTTAAGACGTGGAAAGCCAGGGGACTATGGTTACATTGGGCTCAGAGCAGGGCAAGGATTCAAAAGGGTTTGGGTTCAGAAGGGTTTGTGTCCCTGCCTCCCTTTTCTCTCTGCAGGCCCGAGATGCCTGCAGCATGGACTGGGTCTTCCTCCACTCTGGCTCCCTGCCGGGTGCTCAGTCATTGCTGATTTCTCAGTGCTAGAATCAGTCAAGCAAAGGCTGGAGCAGGAGGCCTCTGGTTCTGCTGGTCCAGCCTTGGCACTGGGCAAGCCTGGGCATCTGGCCATAAAATCAGGATTTTTTTTTTACTGCCCCTGCCCTTTCTCCCAAGGGCAGAGAAACTACCTTGTGGATACAGGAGAAAAAATGGTATCCTGTGTCTTCCCACTGAAGACAGCTGAGGAAAGAATCAGTGAGCTTAAAGCTAGGTTGAGAGAAGTCACATGAACTAAAACACAAAGAAAAACAAAAGTGAGAAAAAGACAGGGGATAAGGAAGAAGAAACCACTGGGATACTACACTTGGTCTAACATACGTGTAATTGGTACCCGAGGAAGAAAGACAGGAATAAACAGGAGAGAAGAAATGTGTTCCAAAATTAAAGAAAGAAGAAGATCACAGATCCCAGAAGCTCAGGATAGCTTGAGAAGGATAAACAACAGACAACCAAAAATATCCTCAAATGTCTAGGGGAAAAAATAAAGAGAAAATCTTGAAAGCAACCAGGAGAAAGAAGCATTACACATTGCTTACAGAGGAACACCAAAGAGAATCTCAGCACACTTCTCCTCAGAAGTTACACAAGCCAGAAGGTAATAGAGGGACATCTTTAAAATAATGAAAGAGAAAATGATTGTCAGAGAGAATTTCATACTCAGAGAAAATATCTTCCCCAGAAAAGGTAAAATAAAGATTTTCCAGACCAAAAAACAAGCTGAGAAAATGTATTACCAGCAGTTCTGCTGTACATGAAATGCTAAAATTCTTCAGGCAGGAGTGTGATGCCAAACGGTCATTTGGATTACACAAAGAAATGAAGCTCTGGAAATGGTAAAATACAGGTAAATCTAAAACACGTTTTAATTTTTATTCACTTTAAACGTATAACTGAGGTCAAACACTGAAACAGTAACAGTACACTATTCAGTCTCTCACATATTGTGTTAGGCAGAATAATAGACCCCAAAGATGTCCACATCCTAAACCCTGAAACCTTCAATTATATCATCTTCCATGGCAGGGGGACTTGGCAGATGGGATTAAATTAAGGACTTTGTGGTGGGAAGGTTTTCCTGGCTTATCTGCGGGAGTCTCAATCTAACCACAAGTGCCTTAAAAACAGAGACTGTCTCCTGGCTGTGGTCAGGGAGGTGGGACTATGGGAGAACAGGCAGCAACAGAGGCCTGGCTGGTCCTGGAGGTGGACGAAGGGGCTGTAGCCATGAATGCAATGGCCTCCGGAAGCTGGAGAAGACAGGGAAACCTTCTTCCCTGGAGCCTCCAGAAAGGGGCACAACTCACTAACATCTAGACTCCAGCTCAGGGAGACTTTTGCAGACATTCTGGCCTCCAGAACTGTAAGATAATAAATTTGCATAATTTCTGTGGTAAGGTGTTGCAGCAGTAATTTTCTATGAAAATGAATATAACAATATGTAGAAGTCAAATGTATAAGAATCACACAAAGAGCATGTACTATAAATGAAGTGGTATAATATCCTTTGAAGACAGGATATGATGAGAATATGAGAAGCCTTTACTTTTACTGGCACAGATGTATACTTTAACCCTAAAGTAACTATTTTAAAACTTTTAAAAAGGCTTAATAGTAAGCCAATACTGGAAAAAAAATGTGGAACTATAGAAAGTACTCAATTAATAAATGAATACACTATTAATAAAATGAGAAGTCAGAAGACTGTGAGAAAACATTTGCAAACAAATATCTGATAAAGGGCTTATCCAGAAGACGTATAAATATGTAAAGAATTCTTACAACTCAGGGCAACATGGCCCAGCGTGGTGGCTCACGCCTGTAATCCCAGCACTTTGGGAGGTCGAGGCGGGTGGATCACTGGGTCAGGAGTTCAAGACCAGCCTGACCAACATGGGTGAAACCCCGTCTCTACGAAAAATACAAAAATTAGCTGGGCATGGTGGTGCATGCCTGTAATCTCAGGAGGCTGAGGCAGGAGAATCGCTTGAACCCAGGAGGCAGAGGTTGCAGTGAGCTGAGATCACGCCATTGCAGTCCAGCCTGGGCAACAGAGGGAGACTCTGCATCAAAAAAAAAAAAAAAAAAAAAAGGGGGAGGCCACATATTTCAGTAGACATTTCACCAACGAGGAGACACAGGCAGCAAATGAGCATGCAGAGAAAGCGGCTCTTCATCACCGGCTGTTAGGAAAATGAAAATCAATACGCAGCTACTAAAGTGGCTTTTTTAAATTTAAAAGGTTAAAACCCAGAAACCTGCTGATAGCAAAAGCCAGCAAGAATGCAGAGCAGCTGAAATCTTCATGCACTGCAGTGGAGAGTGAAAAATCACACAAACACTTTGGAAAACAGTTTGAAAGTTTCTTCAAAATTCAACAGACACCCACCGTGTTCACTTGGCAATCTACCATAGGCATTCTTCCAATAGAAATAAAAAGATCTGTGAAAAAAATAAAAAATAAAACGACCTGCAGGCAAATGTTTACCGTAGCTTTGCTCATAATCTCCAAAAAAAAAAAAAAAAAAGCAGAAACAGCCCCAGTGTCCACCAGCCGGCGGCTGGAGACACAAATCACAGAGCATGCGCATCGTGGAACTGCCTGAGCAATAAGCTGCTGCCTCCTGCAAATGCATCAATCTCAGAAGCGTTATGTCATTAAATGGAAGAAGACAGACACAGAGGCTGCATACCGCATGAGCCCATCTGTCTGACACGCTGGGAAAAGCAAACAGTGGCCACCATGAGCTGGTGCGGGGGGAGAGAATGGGCTCCAAAGATTCACAAGGAAACTATTGTGGCGGTGGTTACACAGCTGAAAGTATTTGTCAAATCTCACTGACCTGCACAGTCCAAAGGATGAATTCTACTCTGTAAACAATTATACCTCCATAAACATGACTTTTAAATAAATGGCAAAACTACTGCCTAAGGAGGAGAAAGTGTGAGAGCAGGAGTTCGGAGGCTCTCTGCCTTCTTGTTGAGCGGGGCTCACTTCCTCTCACGGGCGTCAGAAGAGGCAGGCGGCCCGTCTGCAGGGCTGGATCCCCTGCCTCTGACGGCCGCTCTTTCCTGCCTCTCTGTGCTGCCCGCAGGGCCTAGGCTCGGGGCTGACTGCACACGGAGGATGCCGTTTTCTCATCTCCAGCGGCTAGCCGGGCCCAGGAAGAGACCTTCTGGCTCTGACTTTTCTTGTCCTGGAACAGAGCAGGCTCCAATTCTGAGCAAAGCTTTTATTGCCCTTAGCTCCGGTGGAAAACAACAAAAACGTGTGGGAGTTAGAGGTGCCCTCTTACACATTAACCTCAGAGCCCATTCCTGCTTCCAGCGTGCAATGGAGGTTCTGTGAAACAGACATGTTTGGGGAAATAAAAATTTCATTTACAAAATGGGTAAGGGCTTCTCCGAGAAAACTCTTAAGTGCTGAAAACTTATTTGTAAACTGAAATACAGTTCACTGGTTTATTCATTAAAGTTAATTAATTTTAATAATCTCTAATTGTATTAGTTTAGGGTTCAATTGCTGACAGTAAGAACCATTCTAGCCAGATTAAGCAAACAGAGGCTTATCAGCCGGGATGAGGTGGCTTTCTGAATCACTGGTGCAGCAAAGGCTCCTCACCCCAGGAGAGTGGTACCTAACCGTGGGGAGCAGAGGAGCCTCCTCAGGAGGGTCACATCAGGGTGCTGAGGCCTCGGAACAGCACCATCTCCACCCGCATCCGTGACACAACCCGAGGGCTTCTGCCCAGCTTCCCAAGCAATAGTTCATTCAAACTGATTCGCAAGGGATCTGGGAAATGTGGTTTTTAGCTCCAGGCTTGGCAGGATAGGGAGGAACACTAGATGAGGTCAGAATGGAGTGTGAGCTAGCTGAGCCTGATAAACACACTTGGTTTGTCATAGACATGGCTCTTTGTTAAAGCCCATCCACAAACACGTAAGACACAGGAAACCAAAGTGCAGTAATGAATACAGCACCCACAACTGAGAGGGGAGCGTGTGCTCTTCAAAACGGGACAAGCAGAAGAATGCAGTGCAGGCAGGGCTGTTGCTGTGGAGAAGACATCACAAGAAGCCACGGTTTTCCAGAGAGTCTCCAGTCCTAAAAACTACTTTATGGCAAGTGCGACATGCAAAGCCTGTGTAGGTTTTTAGATAGTAGATCTGGGGCAAGATCTAGAGACTCCAGCAGAGCTAACACATGATGTCTGACATCTGGAAAGTTACCAGAGAGCCACTGTGGTAGGACTTCCACTCACAGTCAAACCAGAGGACTTGAAAGACCTCCAATCTAGTCAGTCTGAACATCTCCCAGGAGAAATGGCTCAGGAAATGGACATTCGTCCAATTTCCTGAGAAAAGAAGACTCTTTTTAAACTCAGTCTCAGTAACTGTGAACACATAACACCAGCCCACAAAAGGAAATGTTAACTACATAACCATCAAATAGAAGAGAGACTTCTGCAAAGTAGAATGTGTGAGGAGACAGTATTATGAATGAGAATAGCACTAGTCTTTGAATAAGATGAAGGGGCAGCCATCGTCAGATTTTACAGATTCTGGGAATCATCCACCAGCTCCTATACCAGGGTCTGAGAGTCCCCTGTTAGATAGCAATGTTCTTTTTGATTAAAACATTACTTTCTCCTGGAGTGTTATTGAAAAGGCAAAATTCACTAGATTTTCCAATGTTAATACCCTAGGTCAATTATTTAATTTCATCACTTTCTTCCATAAATGTAAAAGGACTACCTATCTAAGGACGTTCTTAGAATAAGCAACTTTGAAGGAAACCAGAAGTTGGGCTAAAGTAGGTAGTTACCAGGTGGTGGGAACGGGGCCTTTACCAGGCACTTAAGATGCAGAGAATAAAATACAGTCCCTGGCCTCAGTGCACTTCCAGTCTAATTGAGAATACCAGACAGGTACACGAAAAGGTAACTAAAAACAAAACAGAAGATTGGTACAAGCAAGATCATCCATAAAGGTTTAGAGAGGGAAAACTAAAATATTGACAAGAAAAACTGCAAGAATAATTGGGCCATTCTGTAAACATATATTCTTAGAGTTTGAAAGGACCTTTCATGGAGGCTATGGCAACTGGCTGTGCTCAGAGGCACTATCCCTACCCAGAGCTACCCACGCGTGTGGACATCTCCAGTCAGGAAACTTGCTTCTTGAGTCAGCTTATTCCAATTCTGTTGTCAAAATGGTCTTTCTGCATGTCTTCAAAATTGACTTTCTTTTACATTTCACCCAGAGGTCTCAGTTACCCTTGGGAGCTACAAACATTTTGCCACTTTGCTCCTACTCAGTATTCTTCAAATAGTGAAAGAAATGTGTGTTGTCCTTAAGCTTTCTCCTCTACAGGTAAGCTTTATCTACTAAATGCCTGTCACCATGTTTTCCTTGAGATGGGCCTGAAACTTGTCATCATTCCAAAGGGGATTTAAAACACAGTACCAAAAAGAATGTATGGCCTAGCCTTGGCCATTTCTGTGTAGAGACAATGGCTCACATAGGGCAGGTTTTGGAAATTAGTTTGCAAAGGCAGGTGAGGGTCAGAGCGTGGAGGTTCTTGAGTGTGGGGCTAAGTCTGTACTTCGTCTAGTGACAGAGAAGCCACCAAATATTGCCCAGGAGATGATTTACAGGTGGGAAGCACCTTTCCAAAACATGTCCCAGATGTCAACCTTGACATCCAACTCGCAGAAATCCAAATGAAATGGACTCCAATGCTACTCCTCATGGGAAAATGAAATTCAGTTATCAAGAAGTGGGGGTTGGCTGGAATTTTTCTTGTCACGTGTGAGCTGAGTGTACTTAATAATTGCATCTTGTTGACTAACATATTATTTCCTCATTCTGCTCTGCTGCACCTCTGCTGAATAAGGATCCCTCCCTGTACCTTGCCTACAAAGCTCCCAGCATCCAACGCATTTGTGGGTGCTGCTGACTTACTGAACATTTGTGACAACGAAAGCCTCTTCCATTTCTGTGTTTCACAGTCTGCTCCACCTGCTTCCAAACTTTGTTTCCTATAATCAGCTCCCTCTCCTTCAGGTTTTCTCTATAAACTTGATTACCCTCAGTTTATGATGCAAAGAATTTTGTTTCCCACCTCCTGCAGGGCTCTCGACTTGACTCTGCATATTCAACACCTAATCATTTGCCTGCCAAATGGAGAGAAATAGACTTCAGACTATGCCCTTTGACAGAACAGAAAGGTTAACAGATGCTCCCAGAAGCCCCATTTCCCTTCTCCCGCCCCAGTCAACCGCTGTGAGTTGTTGCTGAAGGGAATCGTGTACCACTTTATTTCCCTACTGATATAATTTCCTCCACCGGAGAGATAGAAACAGCTATAACTAGTTTTTATTTATAAATGAGATTTTTCCTCATCTCCTTTATGGAAAGATTAATTCCATACTGATCTATAAAAAGAATTAATAGAAAAAGAAACTGAAAAAGTTGGAGCATTGAGTAAGGCATTAAAATAGTCCAGAAGTGATAAGATATTACACTTGGGCTGCCGCAATAGAGAACGGGAATGAAACAAGAGGATGCAGAAGAGGAAAATCAAATGAATAAGCCTAATGAAAAGAAAACATGAGTCAAGGTGGAATCCAGCATTTTCCAGCCAGGTAACTGAGGTCATCCATTCGTGTGCTAACCTGTGTGATAAACATGTATCAGGGGCTGAAGAAGAAGGGCTCTAGGTGCTGGGATATAGGAGTAGAAGGGTACAAGCTCCTACTTATGTTCTAGTGGGAGAAACAGACAATCATAACACAAACAAATGGTCAAGATGATTTCAGACAGCAACAAGTGCTGAGAAGACCATGAAACAAAGTGAGGGAACATGGCTAGGTTGGGGGAGGCAGGGCCTGCTTTAGATTAGGCAATGAAATAAGGCTTCCTTTTGAAGCTGATAATGAAATTGAAATTAGGATAATATCAAGGTGGTGGCTGTGCAGATGCTCAGGGCAGATTATTCCAAAAGAAAGGTCAAGAAAAGCAAATGGCTTAAGAACAAACTAAGCATAATTGAGGAGGAAAATACCTATGGGACCCCATGCAGTGTGAGGATGAGGGCGTGGTGAAGTTGGGGAAGTGGTTAAACAGGAGGTCATGTAGAAATGAGGTGACAATGGTGATGGTTAGGTGCAATGATTGTCCCTTTGTAAATACTCGGCAAATGACAATTATCATTCCAATATGGTTTGAATGTGACCCCACCCAAATCTCATCTTGAATTCCCATGTGTTGTGGGAGGAGCCCAATAGGAGGTAATTGAATCATGGGGGCAGGTCTTTCCTGTGCTGTTCTCATGATAGCGAATAAGTCTCATGAGATCTGATGGTTTTAAAAAGGAGAGTTTCCCTGCACAAGCTCTCTTGCTGTCTTTACCTGCTGCCATCCATGTAAGACATGACTTGCTCCTCCTTGCTTTCCACCATGATTGTCAGGCCTCTCCAGCCATGTGGAACTGTAAGTCCATTAAACCTCTTTTTCTTTTGTCTTGGGTATGACTTTATCAGCAGGGTGAAAAAAGACTAATATACATTCCTTATCCAATTATTATTATAGCTTCAGCTGGCTTGCAGCCTATGCTATACTGCTGGAAAATATAGCATGGACAGTAGGAATAAAAAATTTATCATTCCTCACAATCATATGAATTCAAAGTAAAAACACGAAGCAAGTGATTTATATAATTGGAAGATGAGGAAACCTTGCTGTTATGAATATGATGAAAAGAATCCATAATTGCATATCTTGCTGGTAGGAGTGTACATTTGCATAATTTTTAGAAATGTGAGTTAATGAAATCTACCAATAGCATTAAACATGTGTGCCTTTTGATTCAGATTCCATTTCTTAAAAATATTTAAGCATGGTAACAGTGAATTCAATGTGTGTGGGCAAATATTTCGTTAAAAGGATATTCCTGTGATATTGAACGTCTTAAAGAAAACTGGAAACAACCTAAATGTTTATCAGCAAGGAGTGGTTACATTATTAAACTTCCACAGATCTGACCACAGTTCAATCATTGAAACTGCTGTTACTAAAGATATATTTATTGACACAGAAAGACGTTTCTGATATCTTGCTTAATGAGAGACAGTGTAGAAATATTATTGTGGTATGATTGCTGAGATGAACTTTTTTGTCTGCTCACCATTTCATTAAGGGAACTCCCTCTCCCTCTTTTCCTAGTCCTGTGGGTGGCATGGGGTTTGGGACAAAGCACTTTACCAAATGGGGTATCCTCCTGCCACCATGATCAGCTCAGGAGTGAGCTTGTAATCCTGCTGGACCAACGAGAGTCCTCCTTGGTGTTTCTGCTCGTGCTTACAGGAAAACAGCATTCTCTTTTGCTGGGAGATTTTCAGTTAAAGCCAGTCCATCTTCTTGAAAGAGGCCATCATTGCCATGTCATGTTGTGAGCCAACCTCGTTTGAGCCCCTGTAATTAGCAGTGTCACCCACTGGCCTTTTCAGTTGTATGAGGGAGTAAATTCATTTTCTACTTAGAACAGTTTGACTTAACCTTCTGTGTTTTGAAACTGAAAGAATCATAGCCAATAAGAAACCACTTCTTTAGTGAAAGTACATAGAAAAGCACCTGGGAGGATCTAAACCAACACATTGATGATGGTTATTTGCAGATTTGTGGATCTTGTTTTCTATATTAAGCATATGATATTTTGAAATTTTCTTTTAGTGAATAGAACTCACTTCATGTCCAACAAAAAGAAGAGGTTAAAATGGGGTAGCAGGAGAAGACATAAGGTTTGGGTCAAGATTTAGAGAATCCAAGAGTTCGGTTTCAACCATGTTAGTTTGAAACACATGCTACACACTCAAATGGTGATACTGAGCAGGACCTTGTCTACCTGAGTTCAGAGCTCAATGAAGGAAATTGCCACCAAGATATAAAATTGGGATTATTCATTCTACACAATGTGTTTAGGTAAGCAGAGCCTACAGATAGAAATGGAGACCTAAGGGATGCCAACACGGAAACTCTACCAGAGGAGAAAAGTCACCCCAATCAGTAAAGACAGAATAAAGGAAAAGCCACTGTGGAATGAGGCAAATCTGGGAGGATGTCATGGAGAGGAGAGAGTGCTTCAAAAAGGAAGGAGTTGTCCGTGGTACTGATTGCTGAAATTTGGTCAATGAAGACCAGGACAGAGCAAGACATGGGATCCAGCCAGCTCGTGATAGATGACTGATATGGTTTGGCTGTGTTCACACCCAAATCTGATCTTGAATGGTAGCTCCCATAATTCCCAGGTGTCATAGGAAGAACCTGGTGGGAAGTAATTGAATCATTGGGGCAGGTCTGTCCCATGCTGTTCTCTTGATAGTGAATAAGTCTCAGGAGATCTAATGGCTTGATAAAGGGGAATTCCCCTGCACAGACTCTCTGGTCTGCCACCATGTAAGAAGTGCCTTTGCTCTGGCTTCATCTTCCACCATGATTTTGAAGCCTTGCCAGCCATGTGGAACTGTAAGTCCATTAAACCTCTTTTTCTTTATAAATTACCCAGTCTTAGGCATTTCTTTATTAGCAGTATGAGAACATGCTAATACAATAACCTTGAGGAGAGTAATTTCAGACAGACATGTGAGCAGAGCACAGATAGAGTAAGTCCAGGAAAGAAAAGGGAACTGAAATTAAGTTCTTAATTACAGTGAACTGGAGAATTATTTTACTGTGAGGAGAGCTAAGAATAGAGCCTTCCTGTTGAGAGGGAATTGTGTAGGGGGTCAGATTCTGTCATTTGTATATTTCAGTATAGGAAATACTAGAGCATGTTTGTGTGTTGATAAGAAGATGTTGAAGGAAGATTATGAACTTTCAAGGAGGAAGGGCTTAATTATAGGCTTGAAAGAATAAGCAAGTAGAATTTATAATACAAGTGAAGAGATTAACCTTATATAAGAGGAGGAAGTGAAAGCAGAGAGAGTGAATATAGATTAAGGTAGATTGGTAGATTCAAAAGTGATAAAATAAAGAGAGTTTCCTTCTAATCATTTCTAACCAATTTCTCAGTGCGGTGTGAAACAAGATCATCATCCAAGTGTAAAGCGTTAAAGAGAGAAAGGCTGAAATAGTTGTTTTTGAGCAATGAGAGAATGTAGTGGTATTTTTAGGTTTTCTTGAGGGTTCACTTGAGACTTACTGACATGAATTAAAGTCAGAATGTGTTAGTCAATTTTCATACTGCTATGAAGAAATACCCAAGACTGGGTAATTTATAAAGAAAAAGAGGTTTAACTGACTCACAGTTCCACATGGCTGGGGAGTCATCACAATCATGGCAGAAGATGAAGGAGGAGCAAAGCCATGTCTTACATGGTGGCAGACAAGAGAGCGTGTGCAGGGGAACTCCCCTTTATCAAACAATCAGATATCATGAAACTTAGTCACCATCACAAGAGCAACACAGGAAAACCTGGCCCCATGATTCAATTACTTCCCACCTGGTCCCTCCCATGACACGTGGGGATTATGGGAGCTACAATTAAAGATGAGATTTGGGTGGGGACACAGCCAAACCATATCAGAGACCAATGACGAATGCTTGTTGGTTGAAACTACCAGTAATTTGATAACAAATTAATAGTAATAAAATGAATCTTTTAAAATTATCTGGCCTAGTCATTCACAAAACAAAAGCATCCATTGAAACGTCCTTAACTGATATTTGGTCACTAAAAGAATGTCTTCTATACTGGTATTAGTTACAACAACTTCTGCCTACCCCCAAAAGTTCACAAAATGGAAACATCCTAATTATGCAACAAGTACAATCTTTGTTGCTATATTGTTATGGACTTGATGCCTGGTTTTGTCATGAACAGGCCATGTAGCAGGGCTGGCCACCTCTGAGTCTTGGTTTTCTCATTTCCAAAGGAGAAAAATCACATTTACCATGAGGGATGTTAAACTGAGATTGCAGTCAGCACTCCATATCTGTGAGTTTCTAATCTGCAGATATGAAGGCTGGCTGTGCTAAGGCATTTTGTATCTGGGATTTGAACAACTGCTGATCTTTGCAAGGTCCTGGAACCAGTCCACTGTAGAAAAGAGGGGCCCCAGCACCCCCAAGGGAAACAAGTTTGGAGCCTGCTCTGTATATAGTTTCATAGGAGGAGGCACAGGTAAGCCCAGGCATGCTCCTCCTAAGCTCCTGCAGACACCAGCAGTGAATGAGCTGAGAAGGAAATTAAAAACGACCCATCTCACAGCCATGGCTCTATTTTTCTCCTCTCCACTGCCTTTTCCTCCCACAATCTGATAATGGGGGAGGGGGGTAGTGACTTGGGATGCTTCCATAGATGTGAGGGACTTAGTAACACCAGAGTCACACAAAAGTGAACGATGCCTTCCCCAGCAGAGGCCCATGAGTCACAGGGGAGCTTCACAGAACTCAGCTTAGATTTCTCTTGGGCTTTACATGGTTAACTTCAAGGAAGCTTGAAAAGTCCAGGTTCATATGACAGGAGTCAGTGTGTCAAAGATTCTATCAAGGTATTCCCTGAACTAACACAAGAAGTGATCTTCCTCTTGAAACCTCAGAGAAAAGCAAACCATGGCAGGAATCACCCAACATTTTATTGTAAGAGGTCTCTGAATCTATAAAATGCCTGTTAAACAAAAGTGTCAAAATGCTCTCAAATCAGCAGTTCTAGTACCCAAAAGAGATGGAAATCTCAGTCATGTGGACTATGTTACTCCAGGGATAAGTTATCTTCTGATGGGACACTGGATTCTGACTTCTATGATGTCGACTTCTTGATGAATCCCAACTTCCATCTTCCTCTCTCCCCACCCTCGAGCTATGAATGGGAACATCCAACGGCACAAATGTTCTTCATTTTCACTCATGGGAAAGTTGTGAGAGCCATATATCGATAGAAGGTTACAGCCTTAAAGCAAATTGACACTCGGACCAACTGCTTAATTTTTTTCAGTAGTTCTACAGAATCCTAGAGTGGCGAAGTGGCTACTCAAATGCATTCAGCAAGTTAAAAACTCAACTGGGGGCTGGGCACAGTGGCTCATGCCTGTAATCTCAGCACTTTGGGAGGCTAAGGTGGGTGGATCATGAGGTCAGGAGTTCAAGACCAGCCTGGCCAAGATGGTGAAACCCCATCTCTACTAAAAATACAAAAATTAGCTGGACATGGTGGCCACCTGTAATCCCAGCTACTCGGGAGACTGAGGCAGAGAATCACTTGAACCCGGGAGGCAGAGGTTGCAATGAGCCAAGATCACGCCACCGCACTCCAGCCTAGGCAACAGAGCAAGACTCCATTAAAAAAAAAAATCTAAACTGGGGAAACACAAGCCAAGAGCCAAGACCCTGTAGAATTTATTTTCCATGACTACATTCCTTATTCCTTGTATAATAATAATAATTTAAAAAAACATATCACCCCTAGTTTCAGGACTTTTGCATTCAAATTAACTTTAGTCTCATAGCTTCAATTTAACAGAAATGTTCATAGTGATAGTTCGTAGATATGGCAGAAAATCTTTCTTCAAATATCTCTTCTATGCTATTTTATGTCATGAAGTCTTGAATAATTACAATAAAAAAGCAATCAAGAAACCTAGGCTCCTTGGTGGAGCTTTTCTGGTGCACACGTGGCAATACAGTGCTCTCAGGGTATGTCTCAGGTTAGCATTTCCTCACTTTCTTAAAGGCCAGCCTGAGGTGATGCCTAATGCATTGGAATTGTGGTCATAAATTTAGTTCACTCTTGTAGCCAACAGTAAGAATTGTGGCTGCCTGGACCACTGTTTCCCCTGGCAAGAGCAGCTGAGATGCAGAGTAGACCCTAGGCGGCCACCCCAGCTCTCATGATTGATCCAAACAGAGTTGCATAATCAAAATTGATTTGATCAGAGTTTCTCTCCCAGTAATTTAAAATTTGGAATAAAAAGACACAGAGACTGAGAACACTGGGGATGAGATCCATTAATGGCAGCATGCAAGAGGCAATAGCCCTTCGGTTCCCTTGCTTGGCCAAGACACTCCATGCTGTGAGATAATTAACTATCCAGGGAGGAAAGAAATAAAATTGCCTCTCTTATCACACCCCAAAATCAACTACAGATGGATTAAAACATTCAATGTAAAGGAAGCAAAACAAACTACAAAAGCACTGGGGAAAAAAGCAAAAAACCCTAACAAACTCAACTTAAAAAATGTAAAACTTCTGTGCTACAAAAGATAGTCCTAACACATTACAGTGTGAGTGACAGAATGGATGGGAATCGTTGCTCTACACATATCTGATCCATGATCAATACACAATCGTACAACAATAGCCTCAAACCCATCATCATGTATACACTGGAAATAGTCAAAGAGAATGCATTGGCCATTTTCAGAGCATGGATTGCAATCATTCCTGTAAGAGTGAGTCTCGATGACTTTACGGATGAGGGGGTAGCATGTGCAAGGAAAATGGAGCAGGAAAGAGGGGATTTGGGAGAGCAAATCAGCCTCTGCTGTGGTCTGGACAAGATGTCTTGCCAAAGGAAAAATAAAGTCAAGTGAACACACTGCAGGAATGTCTTAGAGGATAACCAACAGGGTGGGACGGGACGGGTATCTGAGGGTGGAGGTAAAAGAAGGCGTTATCAAGGACAATGCCCAGTTCAGCTCTGGGGAAGATAAAGGCAGCCTTTACTGAGAAGCAGATCATGGGGCAGGAAGGAGTTTGGGCTTTGGGTGTCGCCATCATTTACTTTTAAATACTTAAGCAGAGACAGCACAATCAATACAAGTGTAAGGGTTAGTTTTCATCTGTGCATCCTGGGGGTGTTGGTTAATATTTGAACTATTCCAACCTAGAATATACACTTCACAAACCACACTGGAACATCTACAAACTCTAACTTGTCTTACTTAGGGTCAGCACCAGAGTTTGTGTTTTAGCACAACAGATGCTAGAAGTCATCTTTCACCAGTGAAATGAAAGCCATTTGAGACACACGAAATGGAGAGACGTGCTGCACAGACCCTCCCTTGTTGCATGAACAGGGTATAACAACCTGACAACTACAGGACGCTTAGAGCTCCTTGCGGGCCTATGTCTGCCACTCACAGAAAATTCACGCACGTAGTCCTGATAAGCAGGTTCACTTAGTCCTGCTGGTGATACTGCTGCCTCTCTCCCAAGTAAACCTTTCATGCAAGGACTTCATCAAGAGCCTAAAAGCATGTAGAAAGCCTGGGCGTCGTCGAGAGCAGGCTGGATCCCTTTATGCGTTTATTCCTTCATCCCTTTATGCCTTGCTTCTGGTCATGTTTCTAGACATGGCAGAATTCAGTGTGATTCTTGCTTCCCTGGTAACACACCACATGGTAACTAGGTTGTAGAAAGAAAGATGTTAGCCATCATCTACTTCTTACTATCAGAATCTATCAACTTGTGTGATAAAAAAAGTAATGAAACTGAGAAAAACCAAAGAGCATGAAATTTGAGGTGCTCTGTAGACTTTCGCATGGCAGTTACAAATAGGCAGTTGGATATATAGGTCTAAAGTTTAAGAATATATAATTTGGGGCCCTAAAAATATAGTTGATATTTAAAGCAATAGGATTGGTGAGTTTGCCAGGTGAACAAGTGCAGAGAAAAAGAAAGAATGTGTCAAGATTTGAAGAGCCCCAATATTTAAAAATAGTGTAGAAGAAAGAAAATTAGTAAAGGGCCAATGGAAGGAGGCAGAGAATTAGCAAAAACCCAGGAGAAGAGAATGTTATGGAAGCCAAAGCAAGAGAAACATTTAGGAAGAAAAGACGTGGCCAGCTGTGCCACGTTTATACAAAACCAAAGGTTTTGGTTTTGTATAAGGTTTGGATTTGGAGGGGAGAACCTGTTCTGCAACCCCGTAGTGTGTCTAATACCATGTCTGCTTATCTGTGAGCCCACCAGCTGTCTTACATAGCCCATTACATGCTAGGTGGTCTGTAAATTATAATTGAGCTACAGTAACACTTTGCAATCATAGAAACAGACTTTCATATAAATAGCCTTCATTTTAAGCATGAAAATGTTCTGAAACGGGCAACACTTACCTAATTTATTTATTATCTGTGTGAACAAATCAATATAGAGTGTTCACAGAGATCAAGCTTCTCACATCACAGAGAAAAGATAAAATAGGTTGAACAACATGTCATGACTTGAAAATAGCTCCAAAATATTTGGAAAAAAAAAACAACAAGATGTGAGTATGGTACATCAGTCACATAAAAAAAAAACAAAAGTGATATTTGCTTCTTTAATGTTTTTCATGTCAATTGCATAGAAAAAAACAGAATGAGTTTACAAAGCTAATTGTAACAATAATGACTTCTGAGAAGAGCATGGATGTGAGGGTTACATGATTTAAGAATATATGTAATTTTTAAAAATAAGCCTTATGTATGCTCATTGATGAAATGTGAAAATAGGTATAAATAACAGATTAAAGTCCTCATAACCTCACAACCTAGAGATAACTGTTGTTAATATTTTGGCATAGGTGGAGGATCAACATGGCGGAGGGGAGGAAGGACTAGACTGCAGCTCTGACTCGGACAGACAGAGCAGTGTGCAGAGGCTTGCATGGTGAATTTTAGCTCCAGAACGACTGGAGGAGCAAACCAGGAAACCTGAGAGGACCCACAGACCCTCTGAAGGAAGTGGATTGCACCTGCAAGACCCAAAGACACCCCAAATACTACTGTGAATGCCCAAACTGCGGAAGTGGGAAAGAGAGTTCCTCCACCCTGGCACACACTCCCCCACTGGGGAAACTGATGGTCTAGTTTGTGGGAGAAGTTTCTGACCTTACCTGGAGCTGAGTCAATTTAGAGAGCCAAGGAAATACGGGGGTAGAGGAAGCAGCAGGAAAGGCCCTGGGAGCTCGCTGGGTTCCGAAGCAGACCATTCCTGCCTGGCACCACAGGGATCCATTGGGAGGGTGGCCAGAGGCACAGGGAAAACGCAACGAGAAGGAAGTCTCCAGCTGAACTCTGTTAACAATTTGAACCAGGTGAGAAGCTTCCCGGCCAGAACTTGGGGGAGGGTGCGAATCTACTGTGCAGACTCCATAGGCGGGGAAGGAACTAAGACTTTTTCTTTCCCGTTGAGAGGCAGGTAGGCTGGGCAAGGTCTCAGCCCTGCACGCGGTCCTCCTGGAAACAGATTTGGGGCTGTTACGGGGGCAGAGTGGGAGTGAGACTGGCCCTTCAGATTACACAGGAATGGGGTGAGACCTGTGGCTGCCGGCTTTCCTCCACTTCCCCAACAACCTGCATGACTCATCAAAGGCAGCCATAATCCTCCTAGGTACACAACTTCCTTCACCTGGGAACCTCATTCCCATCCCCCACAGCAGCTGCAGCAAGACCTGCCTAAGGAGAGTCTGAGCTCAGACACGCCTAGCCCTGTCCCCACCTGATGGTCCTTCCCTACCCACTCTGGTAGCAGAAGACAAAGGGCATATACTCTTGGGAGGTCTAGGGCCCCACCCACCACCTGATCCTCCCTGCACTACCACAGCTGATGCTTTCTGAAAAACGCCACCTTCTGGCAGGAGGCCAACCAGCACAAAAATAGTGCATTAAACCACCAAAGCTAAGAACCCTCAGAGACCATCTCAACCCGCTGCCACCTCCACTGGAACAGATGCTGGTATCCATGGCTGAGAGACCCACAGATGGTCCACATCACAGGACTCTGTGCAGACAACCCCCAGTACCAGCCCAGAGCTGGGTAGACTTGCTAGGTGGCTAGATCCAGAAGAGAGAGAACAATCGCTACAGCTTGGTTCTCAGGGAGCCACATCCATAGGAAAAGGTGGACAGTACTATATCAAGGGAACACCCTGTGGGACAAAAGAATCTGAACAACAGCCTTTTCTTTAACAAGGAAATCCAAAAAACGATACAAGAAGTGAAGGGAGAAATGTTCAAGGAAATAGATAGCATAAAGAAAAAACAATCAAAACTTCAGGAAACATTAGACGCACATATAGAAATGCAAAATGCTCTGGAAAGTCTCAGCAATATAATTGAACAAGTAGAAGAAAGAAATTCAGAGCTCGAGACAAGGTCTTCAAATTAACCCAATCCAACAAAGACAAAGATAAAAGAATAAGAAAATATGAACAAAGCCTCCAAGAAGTCTGGAGATTATGTTAAACAACCAAACCTAAGGATATTCGGTGTTCCTGAGGAAGAAGAGAAATCTAAAGGTTTGGAAAACATATTTGGGGGAATAATGGAGGAAAACTTCCCCAGCCTTGCTAGAGATCTAGACATCCAAATACAAGAAGAACAAACAACACCTGGGAAATTCATCATAAAAAAGATCATTTCCTAGGCACATTGCCACCAGGTTATCTAAAGTTAAGAAAAAGGAAAGAATCTTAAGAGCTGTGAGCAAAAGCACCAAGTAACCTATAAAGGAAAACCTATCAGATTAACAGCAGATTTCTCAGCAGAAACTCTAAAAGCTAGAAGGGATTGGGGCCCTATCTGTAGCCTCCTCAAACAAAACAATTATCAGCCAAAAATTTTGTATCCAGCTAAATGAAGTATCATATATAAAGGAAAGATACAGTCTATTTCAGACAAGCAAATGCTGAGAGAATTCTCCACTACCAAGCCACCACTATAAGAACTGCTAAAAGGAGTTCTAAATCTTGAAACAAATCCTGGAAACACATCAAATCCGACCTCTTTAAAGCATAAATCTCACAGGGCCTATAAAACAAAAATACAATTTAAAAGCAAACAACAACAACAAAAAAAAAAACAAGGTACACAAGCAACAAATAGAATGATGAATGGAATTGTACCTCACATCTCAATACTAACATTGAATGTAAATGGCCTAAATGTTCCACTTAAAAGATAGAGAACTGCAGAATGGATAAGAACTCACCAGCCAACTAGCTGCTGCCTTCAGGAGACTCACCTAACACATAAGGACTCACATAAACTTGAAGTAAAGGGGTGGAAAAAGGCATTTCATGCAAATGGACACCAAAAGTGAGCAGGGGTAGCTATTCTTATATCAGACAAAACAAACTTAAAAGCAACAGCAGTTAAAAGAGACAAAGAGGGACATTATATAATGGTAAAATGCCTTGTCCAGCAGGAAAATATCACAATCCTAAACATGTATGTACCTAACACTGGAGCTCCCAAATTTATAAAACAATCACTAATATACCTAAGAAATGAAATAGATAGCAACACAATAATAATGGGGGACTTCAATACTCCACTGACAGCACTAGACAGAAAGACAACAAAGAAAAAATGGATTTAAACTATACTTTGGAACAAATGGACTTAACATATATATATATAAAGAACATTTCATCCAACAACCGAAGAAATCACATTCTATTCAACAGTGCATGGAACTTTCTCCAAGAAAGACCATATGATCGGCCACAAAACAAGCCTCAACAAATTTAAGAAAACTGAAATTATATTAAGCACTCTCTCAGACCACAGTGGAAAAAACTGGAAATCAACTCCAAAAGGAACGTTCAAAACCATGCAAATACATGGAAATTTAAAAAACCTGTTCCTGAATGATCATTGGGTCAAAAACGAAATCAACATAGAAATTAAGAAATTCTTCCTACTGAACAACAGTAATGACACAACCTATCAAAGCCTCTGGGAAACAGCAAAGGCAGTGCTAAGAGGGAAGTTCATAACCCTAAACACCTACATCAAAAAGACTGAAAGAGCACAAGCTGACATTCTAAGGTCACCTCAAGGAGCTAGAGAAACAAGAACAAACCAAAACCAAACCCAGCAGAAGAAAGGAAATAACCTAGATCAGAGCAGAACTAAATGAAATTGAAACAGAAAAAATACAAAAGATAAATGAAATGAAAAACTGCTTCTTTGACAAGATATATAAAATTGATAGACTGTTAGCATCTTGGTTAATCTTTAACCAAAGAAAGAAGAGAGAAAATCCAAAGAGCCTCATTAAGAAATGAAACAGAAAATATTACAACTGACGCCACAGAAATACAAAAGATCATTCAAGACCACTATGAACACCTTTATGCACATAAACTAGAAAACCTAGAAGACATGGATGAATTCCTGGAAAGATACAACTCTCCTAGCTTAAATCAGGAAGAATTAGATACCCTGATCAGACCAATAACAAGAAGTAAGATTGAAATGGCAATAAAAAATTACCAACAAAAAAATGTCCAGGACCAGACGGATTCACAGCAGAATTCTACTAGACATTCAAAGAAGAGTTGTTACCAATCCTTTTGACACAATTCCACAAGATGAAGAAAGAGGGAACCCTCCCAAATTCATTTTATGAAGCCAGCATCACCCTAATACCAAAATGAGGAAAGGACATAACCAAAAAAGAAAACCACAGACCAATATCCCTGATGAAAATAGATGCTAAAATCTGTAATAAAATACTAGCTAACTGAATCCAACAACGTATAAAAAGATTATCTACCATGATCAAGTGGGTTTCATGCCAGGGATGCAGGGTTAGTTTAACATGCACAAGTCAATAAATGTGATATACCACATAAACAGAATTAAAAACAAAAATCACATGATTGTGCAGAAGGTGTCAAATGCAGGAAAAGCATTCGACAAAATCCAGCATCCTTTATGATTGAAACCCTTAGTAAAATCAGCATACAAGGGATATACCTCAATGTAATGAAAGCCAACTATGACAAACCCACAGCCAACATAATACTTAATGGAGAAAAGTTGAAAGCATTCCTTCTGAGAACTGGAACAAGACAAGGATGCCCACTCTCACCACTCCTCTTCAACATAGTACTGGAAGTCCTAGCCAGAGCAATCAGACAAGAGAAAGAAATAAAGGGCATCCAAACTGGTAAAGAGGAAGTCAACTGTCACTGTTTGCTGATGATATAATCGTTTATCTAAAAAACCCTAAAGACCCCTCCAAGCTCCTAGAACTGATAAAAGAATTCAGCAAAGTTTCTGGATTCAAGATTAATGTACACAAATTAGTAGCTCTTCTATACACCAACATTGACCAAGCAGAGAATCAAATCAAGAACTCAATCCCTTTTACAACAGCTGCAAAAAATAAAAATAAAATAAAATATGTCTGTTGGCTACATAAATGTCTTCTTTTCAGAAGTTTCTGTTCATATCCTGTCCACTTTTTGATGGGGTTGTTTGTTTTTTTCTTGTAAATTTGTTTAAGTTCTTTGTAGATTCTGAATACTAGCCCTTTGTCAGATGGATAGATTGCAAATGCAAAAATTTTCTCCCATTCTGCAGGTTACCTGTTCACTCTGATGATAGTTTCTTTTGCTCTGCAGAAGCTCTTTAGTTTAATTAGATCCCATTTGTCTATTTTGGCTTTTTTTGCCATTGCTTTTGGTGTTTTAGTCATGAAGTCTTTGTCCATGCAAAAATGCTCATCATCACTGGTCATCAGAGAAATGGAAATCAAAACCACAGTGAGATACCATCTCACTCCAATTAGAATGGCGATCATTAAAAAGTCAGGAATCAACAGATGCTGGAGAGGATGTGGAGAAATAATGCTTTTACACTGTTGGTGAGAGTGTAAATTAGTTCAACCATTGTGGAAGACAGTGTGGTGATTCCTCAAGGATCTAGAATTAGAAATACCAATTGACCCAGCCATCCCATTACTGGGCATATACCCACAGGATTATAAATCATTCTACGATAAAGACACATGCACACGTATGTTTATTGCAGCACTATTCACAATAGCAAAGACTTGGAACCAACCCAAATGAATTAAGAAAATGTGGCACATATACACCACGGAATACTATGCAGCCATAAAAAAGGATGAGTTCATGTCCTTTGCAGGGACACGGATGAAACTGGAAACCATCATTCTAAGCAAACTATCACAAGGACAGAAAACCAAACACCGCATGTTCTCACTCATAGGTGGGAGTTGAACAATGAGAACACATGGACACAGGGCAGCAGGGCAGGGAACATCACACACTGGGGCTGGTCAGGGGGTGGGGGGCTTGGGGGCAGATAACATTAGCAGAAATACGTAACGTAAATGACGAGTTAACAGGTGCAGCAAACCAACAAGGCACATGTATACCTACGTAACAAACCTGCACGTTGTATACATGTAACCTAGAACTTAAAGTATAATAAAAATAAATAAATAAATAAAATACTTCGGAATATACCGAACCAAGGAGGCAAAAGACCTCTACAAGGAAAACTACAAAACACTGCTGAAAGAAATCATAGATGACACAAACAAATGGAAACACATCCCATGCTCATGGATAGGTAGAATCAATATTGTGAAAATGACCATACTGCCAAAAGCAATCTACAAATTCAGTGAAGTCCCCATCACAAAACCACCATCATTCTTCACAGAATTAGAAAAAAAAATTCTAAAATTCATATGGAACCAAAAAAGAGCCCATATAGCCAAAGCAAGACTAAGCAAAAAGAACAAATCTGGAGGCATTACACTACCTGATTTCAATCCATACTATAAGGTCATAGTCAGGAAAACAGCATGGTACTGTTATAAAAATAGGCACATAGACCAATGTAATAGAATAGAGAACCCAGAAATAAACCCAAATACTTACAGCCAACTGATCTTCGACAAAGCAAACAAAAACATAAAGTGGGGAAAGGACATCCTTTCAACAAATGGTGCTGGGTTAATTGGCTAGCCACATATAGGAGAATGAAACTGGATCCTCATCTGTCACCTCATACAAAAATCAACTCAAGATGGATTAAGGACTTAAATCTAAGACCTGAAACTCTAAAAATTCCAGAAGATAACATTGGAAAAGCCCTTCCTGACATTGGCTTAGGCAAAGATTTCATGACCAAGAACCCAAAAACAAATGCAATAAAAACAAAGATAAATAGCTGAGACTTAACTAAAGAGCTTTTGCACAGCAAAGGGAACAGTCAGCAGAGTAAACAGACAACCCACAGTGTGGGAGAAATATCTTCACAATCTATACATCTGACAAAGGACTAATATCCAGAATCTACAAGGAACTCAAACAAATCAGCAAGAAAAACAATCCCATCAAAAAGTGGGCTAAGGACATGAATAGACAATTCTCAAAAGAAGATATACAAATGACCAACAAACATATGAAAAAATGCTCAACATCGCTAATGATCAGGGAAATGCCAATCAAAACCACAATGTGATACCACCTTACTCCCGCAAGAATGGCCATAATCAAAAAAATCAATGATGCTGTGATCAAGGAACACTTCTACACTGTTAGTGGGAATGTAAACTAGCACAACCACTATGGAAAACAGTGTGGAGATTCCTTAAAGAACTAAAACTAGAACTACCATTTGATCCAGCAATCCCACTACTGGGTATCTACCCAGAGGAAAAGAAGTCATTATCGTCAGAGTGAACAGGCAACCTACAGAATAAGAGAAAAATTGTGCAATCTATCCATCTGACAAAGGGCTAATATCCAGAATCTGCAAAGAGCTTTAACAAATTTACAAGAAAGAAACAAACAACCCTGTCAAAAAGTGGGTGAAGGATATGAACAGCCCCTTCTCAAAAGAAGACATTTATGTAGCCAACAGACACATGAAAAAATGCTCATCACCACTTGTCATTAAAGAAATGCAAATCAAAGCCACAATGAGATAGCATCTCACACAGTTAGAACGGCATCCTTTAAAAAGTCAGGAAACAACAGATGCTGGAGAAGATGTGGAGAAATAGGAATGCTTTTTGTTGTTGTTGTTGGGAGTGTAAATTTGTTTTTTTGTTTGTTTGTTTGTTTGTTTGTGTTTTGAGATGGAGTCTTCCTCTGTTGCCCAGGCTAGAGTGCAATGGCATGATCTCAGCTCACTACAACCTCCACCTCCTGGGTTCAAGCAATTCTCCTTCCTCAGGCCCCCGAGTAGCTGGGATTACAGGTGCTTGCCACCACGCCCAGCTAATTTTTGTATTTTCAGAAGAGACAGGGTTTCACCATCTTGGCCAGGCTGGTCTCAAACTCCTGACCTCGTGATCCACCTGCCTTGGCCTCCCAAAGTGCTGGGATTACAGGCTTGAGCCGCCATGCCCAGCCAATTAATATCACTTTTTATGCATACATTATTGTCTGCATCTGGAACTAACCCTTTGGATGTGTTTTTGAAGCTGCAATTATTAAATCGAAGAATCTTAATATCACTGTATATCTTGACAAATATTGTAAAACAGCTTTAAAAACAGTTGCACCAGTTTATTTTTCCACTAACAGTGAGAGGAATAGTTGTGTCTGGGCTCAGATCAACACTGAATATGATTTGGGCTTCTCATTTTTGCTAATTTGTAGTTGACCAGTATCTCTTTTAGAATTGTTGAAATAAAACCTTGTTGCTTATTTATGACACATTTCCATTTCCTATGAATCACTGATGTAGAGTCTTCTCTGCCAAGTGTGTAGACTCTGATGAACTCAGAGTCTATGAACTCAATGTCTGTGAAATTTCTGGCAATTCTCCCTAGTTTATTTTTTTGCTTTTTATTTTGTTTGTAAAACTTTTTTTTTTTTTTTTACAAAATTGTATGTGTATGTTGTCAAGTAAGCAATCTAAGCAATGGAAAAATCACAAATGAAAATGCCCATGTATTTGTTAGGTGTGGTCCCTTGTTCCAGTTTGCTCATAATCTACTGTATTCGTCAGGGTTCTCCAGAGAAGCAGAAGGATCTATATGGACATATAGAAAGAGGTTTATCATGAGGAATGGGTTCATGCCATTATGGACACTGAGAAACAAGATTAACTAACATCTCAAGAAGTTATCGGCTAGACACAGTGACTCACACCTATAATCCCAGCACTTTGGGAGGCTGAGACAGGCAGATCACTTGAGCCCAGGAGTTCAAGACCAGCCTGAGCAACATAGTAAAACCCTGTCTCTACAAAAACACAAAAATTATCCAGGCATGATGGCGTGCGCCTGTAACCCCAGCTACTCGGGAAGCTGAGGTGGGAGGATGGATGGAGACTGGAGGTCAACACAGCAATGAGCTGAGATTGCACCACCACTCTCCAGCCTGGGTGACAGCATGAGAACCTGTCTCAAGAAAAAACAAATAAAAAGAAGTTATGCTTCCCCCGGCCTATATAATCTGCCATCTGCAAGCTGGTGTTCCAGGAAAGCTGGTGGTGCAGATCATAGGCCAAACCCAAAGGTCTGAGAACCAGAAGCACCAATGTCTAAGGGCAGGAGAAGGAGGAGGTCCCAGCTCAGGGAGAGTCAATTCCCCCTCCTCTGCCTTTGTTCTGTTCAGGCCCTCAGTGGACTGGATGGTGCCCACCCACACTGGGGAGGGCAATCTTTTTACCCATCCACTGGTTGGATTGGTCATCTCTGCCAGAAACGACCTCGCAGACATGCCCAGGAAAAATATTTGGGCAGCTACCTGGACATCCCTCAGCCCAGTCACACTGATGTGAAGTTAACCCTCACATCTTCTGAAGGGAGGCAATATCGTTTTTAAGGCAGTTTCACAAAGGACCAGAAAAGTAAGCATAGGCCAGGTAAGAATATAGCTTCCTGAGATCTTAATTTACCATATTTCTCCATTTTACCCCTTTCTCAACCTAAATAATGTGTACATTCTGTGCTTCCTTGCCTGGGGAAGGTTATTTTCTAAAACTTTAGAACTTTCAGAAAAAATGAAAAACTGCATCTGGAAATAATGTAAGAGGGTCTGGCAGCGAGCCTTCCTGGATGAAGTGTGAATAGTCTACTGGCCCCACGAACACTGGGAACTGTATGCAGCCTCTTGGAAGGTCCCACATCTACGACAGCTTTGAGAGAATCAAATTCAATATCTCAGGAAAGCCAGATCCAGGCTCTAGTTCCCCGGGTCCGAAGTTAACCAGCCCACACCTCCAGCGGGCGGATTATGTGGGCTGAGGACACTGGCACCCCTCAGTGGGTATCGGTGTGATTAGATGACCAGTACCACACTGACCACAGGACATGCAGCATCAAGCCTGCCACCAGGAGCCCCGAGAGTGAACCCGGTGGCTGTTGCTGCCCAGAGGGTGAAATGGGAGGAGACGAGGAGTCAGCATCATTTCAGCTGGCTTTAAAAAAACAGTCTTATTGTACATATCTTGGAACTGAAGTTTGTAGACCAGAGTTTATTACTCCTCCAGCCAGACCATGATGGAGCCACTGAAACCACATTAAGGCATTAAGACTTTTATCACCATCTGGGGCAATCAGCCAGTGATAGTCTCTGGGAAGCTCAAATGGGGGGCAGGTGGTGTGATAGGAGGGAGGCTGGCCTCACAGAGCTTGAGTCAAAATTATCTGAGAGCTAATATCCAAGCGGAAAAACAGACATAAATATGATCAGATTATGCGCTTAGAATCCATTCAAAGGGGCTAAGCTTTAGGAAGGAAGTTTACAGCACAGCCAGCCAAGGACCCCAGGCCAGAGGAAGAGAACGTGACAAGAGAGGGTGCAGAGCTCACAGAGTCCTCTGAAAGTGGAGGCAGACACAGAAACTTGATTGAGTCTTTTCCTCCTCCTACAAACCTGCTCTGCAGGGCAGAGAGAGGTAGGGATTTGCCACAATGCACCCCTTGAAGGGCCTGGCCCACAGGGTCTTGTGCCAGTGCGAGGGGCAAGTTTCCATCACTCCTCAGAGCCTCATCCTTCATAAAGGCCGGTAGCTCTGCGGGAGGCCAGCACTCCCTCTATGTTTATTTATTCTCAGTACAGACAAGGGGCCTGAAGTGGAGGAAGTGGAGGAAAACCTCCTGGGGATGGCTAGAGACGGGATGGAAAGAAGTGGGGAGTATGCACAGATGCAGAAAAATGGAATAAGAAAGGCACTTTAGGAGCCCAGGCCACGTGCTCCTCAGGAAGCTGGGGGCTGTGCTGGGAGCTCCTCCAGAGACCAAGGCCAGGAGGTCAGTGGGCCCCACAGTGCCTAGAAGCAGCATCCATGGGCTGCCAGCCGCTGGTGGACAATGGTTCTCAAACCCGCCCGAGTGTCAGGAGGGCTTGTTAGACCTGGGCTGCGGGGTCCCGTCCCCCACGTTTCTGCTTCAGCAGATCTAGGGTAAGGCCCAGAAATTTGCATCTCTAACAAGTTCCAAGCTGATGCCACTGGCGCAGGCACCACACTGTGAGAACTGCTGGGTGGGGAACGACGTGGCTTGCCTCACACAGAAGACCCCTTACACACAGGTATGAGCCATGACACCAACCGAGGAAGGACCTGTGTTCCTGCTCCTGGTGGCACCACCACCAGCATCACCCCAATCTCATTACAAATGCACCCTCAGACTCAGCCTCGCAGCTGCCAGACCCAGGTCTGCAAGTCAGGATCCCAGATGACCCAGGTGCACACTAAGGCGAGAAGGAATTGTGCTATCAACAGAATCACAGTAAAAAAGAGGGATGCCATTGCTAGACCCTGCCCCTTTTAAACATTTCCTGGGAGAATGGGGGAGACTGGCCAAGGATGAGATTTGGATATGACTGAATTATTGGCCAAATATCAACACCCCCTTCCCAACACCCCTCCCCAACACCCCCTCCCCAACACCCCCCCAACACCCCCTCCCAACACCCCCTCCAACACCCCCTCCCCAACACCCTCTCCCTAATACCCTCTCCAACACCTCCTCCCCAACACCCCCCCAACACCCCCTCCCAACACCCCCTCCAACACCTCTTCCCCAACACCCCCTCCCAACACCGCCTCCAACACCCCCTCCCCAACACGTGGGTGCTGCTCCCTTCCAGAGCCTCCTCCTCCTCCTCTTCGGGCCATGCTGTACCACTGAGTGGAGGAGTCAAGGTTCCATATTCTGAGCCTGACCCTAAACCCTGCGCTCCGCCCCATCCCTGGGACCACATAACTGTCCTCATCTACCCTAACTCCACTACCAGGTCCCGGGAGGGAGGGAACTTGAGGGGTGCTGGGCAGCTCCACATCAGCAGAATCTGGGGACAGCCCCCGACATGGCCGCCTAGTGCCCGAGACTGCTGGCTGGCTTCTGTGCTGGCCCTGCCCTGGGACCCTCACAGAGCTGGTGCTGGTTCTGCTGGCCCAGACCTGGAACCCTCACAGGGCAGGTGCTGGTTCTGCTGGCCCAGCCCGGGACCCTCACAGAGCTTGTGTTGGTTCTGCTGTGCTGGCCTGGGACCCTGGGACCCTGGCAGCGCTGGTGTTGGTTCTGCTCGCCCGACCCTGGGAGCCTCGCAGCACCGGTGTTGCTTCTGCTGACCCAGCCCTGGGACCCTGGGACCCTGGCAGCGCTGGTGCCAGTTCTGTACTCTAGGGCCTTGGGCACCAGGCTGCATGCCTTGGCCACACATTCACTTGTATAGGCCCCACAAAGGCCATGGGCTGTGCTCCCTGGTCCCTGCCTAACTGCTGGCTCCAGATTCCAGCGACAGACCCCATGTCCTCACAGACGCATGTCTACAACCCCTGTTTGAACAGCCCTGGACACCTGCACAGGCTTCCTACTGCCAAGGACGCCCCTGAAGGTGGCCACCCAACCCCTGCCACACTTAAAACCTTGCCCCTAGAAACAGTATGTGTGGTCAAAGTTGGATCTTTAAACTTACATTTTACTAACATGAAATCCTTTCCTTGTATGTTTTATGACATGATCTCCCAGACCAATACATGTTTACCATTTTACATGAGATTTTCTTATCTGATTTTCCAGTAAAGGCATCAGAGATCAAGACGATGTGTTCCATCCGCTGCGTGTCCCTGGAGAGGGGGAACACAGAGCCACCGACCTGGGGCAGGCACAGCTGTCCTTAAATCTCAGCCCTAGAATCTGCCAGCAAGGAGGAGCTTTGGGCGAATCAGTGTGACAGGGAATGAAAAACCTGCCCCTGGAATTGTACAGACACAGGGTTAGTATGCACCTCGTGGGAAGCCTGCATTCAGCCTGCGCTCAGCTGCTGCTGCTGGCTTTGATGTCTCCTCCACTGCAGGCCGCACGGGAGGGGTGCCCTCACCCTGCTTTCACCAGATGGCCTTTCCCAAGCAAGATGGCCATGGCCCTTACCAGAGCCCTCCAGCTGTGGCCCTTTAGGGCTCTGGGATAATTCAGAGCAAAGACCTCTCTGGCTTATGGAGTTTGTACCCATCTTAACAATCTGAGCATGAACAATGGAGCTAGGAAATGACTCCGTTTCTCAGTGGGATTGTAGGAGCCTCATCTCCTTCCAGGCCCACCACTGTCATCCGCAAAGCAAGGCACTCCCGTCCTATTGAAAAAGCAGGCCAGGAAACAGTCTGCCAGGGGTGTCTTCTGGGGAAGCTCCTCTCTTTTCTGACAGGTAGGGCCAATCCAGTCAGTCAGATGGCGCTAGTAAGCCGGGCTGTCCTCCAGGGCCCTGGGGCATCTCCCGCGATTGCGAGTCTTCTCTTCTCAGCGTCCAGAGTAAGCTCCCAGAGCCATTTTGGAAAATTCTTCTCATTGCAGTGCAGTTATTTAATATAAATAACTAAAGAGGAAGCTATATGCTGGTGATTGGCTGGTGCACAACAGCTGAGATGGGGCTGGCCTCCCCATCCTGCAGGAGCCAGCACCGCCACCCCCAAGATTCCTACAACTAGAGGCCCCCTTCCTCAACAGGAGGGACCGACATCTGCAAGGACAGAGCCCCTGACCTTCCCAAACAGCTTTCAGCAGCTGGCACCCCATACCGGCCGCGAGGATTCCCCCACAAGACCGCTTTCCCACGGAGGGGTGGTCCTCCCTGGAATGCGGACCCTCAGTGTGTGCCCGTGAAGGAAGATGCAAGATGGGCGACCTGAGCCTTCTTCTGCTGGAGCCATGGCCTGATTACATTTTCCCCATAAGCCCTGTTCCTTACCCCACACCACGTGGTTTTGAAGAACTCACCCCACATGCTGTGAGTGCAGAAGGTGGTCCTCTTGATCACACCAGGCAGGTGACCGTGGACCCCACCTGAAGGAAGGTGGTCCTCTTGCTCGTACCAGGCAGGTGGCCATGGGCCCCACCTGATGTGAGTGCTACAGACATCGTGGGACCAAGGGACCAAGTACCCTGGCTGGAGGCCCCTCATCTGCCGGGAGCTACCAAGACCTCACCTGGGCAGGTGTGGAGCCTGCTGGGCACAGAGCAGGATGGGGAAGGGATGTCGCCTTCCTCCCTAATTTCTCACTGCTCTCCATGCCTTTCTGCTTGAAGCGCTGCCCTGCCTAAGCCCCTAACTATCTCAACTCAAGATAACACACTCCTTGTTATTTCCTGAGGGGTCGCAGAGCTGAAGCCCCAAAGGGACTAGCTTGTGGCGGACATTTACCCAGGACACTGAGTTAGTTGGCATGGAAGGAGCCTCAGACCAGGAGCCAGAAAACACTGTGCCCAGCGTGTCTTGTTTTCGTTTTTATTTTCATGGTTGTGTCACTTAATCTGAGTCTCCACCTCCTAATCTAAAAGATAAATACAACATCCTATCTTTCTTCCACCATAGTGCATTGCAAAACAAAATCCCCTCAGCAGACAGGTAACGCAGGCAGATGGCAGTGCCCTGGAGTCCTGAGTGAGGTGCAAACAGACAGGTAACGCAGGCGGATGGCAGTGCCCTGGAGTCCTGAGTGAGGTGCAAGGGAGAGGCTCGACATGGTCTGTGTCTGCCCATAGCCCTGCTTAGGACAGTCACTGGCCCAAATTTGATGCCTCTGCTGGAAATAGCTGAAGCCCACAGGATGTCTCAGTCAGCTGGGGTCGCTATGACAAAATACCATAGTCCAGGTGGCTTATAGGCAGCAGAACCCACTTCTAGGATTCAGGAGGCTGGAGGTCCAAGATCAAGTCCCCGCAGGTTTGGTATCCTGTGAGGGCCACTTCCCAGCTCACGGCCACCTTCTTGCCACATCCTCACATGGTGGGATGGGCAAGGCAGCTCTCAGGGGTCTTTTTCATAAGGGCACTCACCCCATCTTTGAGGGCTCTGTCCTGGTGAGCTAACCCCCTCCCAGAGCCCCACCTGCTCATCCTCATGCTGAAAAGGAGGATTTCCAGGCATGGATTTGGGGAAAACACACAGATAGCCCATTGCCCTGGGGATCCCTGGTTTCTCAATATGCATAAGGAGACATTGGGAATCAGTGATTTCTTAAGTCCTTTCCAGCTCTGGAATTCAATTAATTCTGTCCCATCAGCATGAAGTATCTGAGAGGCGGTCAGTGACGTAAGCTGTTATTTTCACTGCTATGGAGGTCCAGGGAGCTGCGATCCAGGCTCCCTCAGGAGAGACACAGGCTCGAGAACCACATCCCTCTGCAGGGCTCGGTGATGAGCTGGGGGCCCGCTGAGCACTGTTAGCATTTTAATAGGGAACTTTTGAGACCCAGAGATCCTGGTGTCCTAGAGCACGTGGCCAGTGGCCACAGATCTCCCCAGATGAGATGGGCAGACAGGCCCAGCCCACCTGCTTCTCAGGTTCTTGCTGCAGGGAAATGGGCTATTCCAGCCAGGTCACAGCTGCCACCACACCCAGGCAGAGGAGCTGCCAGCCCTCACCCTGCCTGGAGCTCCCTGCCACCCACTCCTGGGTGGACTCCTGTGTGCAGAGTTCTCCAGCCCCTGGCTCCCCTCGACCCCTGCATGCCCTTAGCCCTGCACAGCCTGTGGGCTGACACCTGGCCCAATCTCTCTCACATCCCTGCCCCCACTTGTGAAGGAGCTGGGACAACTCCAGGCAGAGAGACCCCTGGGAGTTTCACAACCCGGCGTGCGGGCAGCAGCAAGAGTGTGGGAGTGGGGAGTGCTCTGCCCTGAGCATTTTTTAAAGTTCAAGCTGCAATCCAGAAACCCTTGGCTCCAGGCTGTTGTCCCTCCAGTTGTGAAGGGAACTGTTGTGTGCACGTGGTGTGGTAGTAGAGTATTGGGTGAGAAACTCAGGCACACCACACTGCAGGTCCGATCAAGACCCAAAGCACCAGTGAGCCAGTTATTCCCTGTGACTGTCCCAATATGTCTCCTGTCCCACGGTCTCAGGAACCCGTGGCATGTGGTTCCGCCTGCTTCTGGAAACCATGTGATACCAGCTGTGCCACATGGGGTATATCCCCCCTCCCCTCCACCCAGGGCCCCACACACCCCGTGGGCAGAGCACAATCAGACACTCCAGCCGAGCTCTCAGCCTTGACCATGGTCACCTTGATCACCATGGCTGATGTCTGTGACTCGGTTTCATTGAGAAAAGAAAGAAATTTCACCTAATCCGTTGAGTATGTTGTGTGAGGATTAAATTAGTGCACATGGGTGCAGTGTCTGGGACCACTTTTCTCCTCTCCCTCATGGGAGGATGCCATCTTCAATGCCCAGCCTCCTCCGGGGGTCTGTGCTGCTGACTGTCAGGCTCAGAGGTCAGCTGGGGTGGCTCCTCCACCCACTTCTCCCTCCTCTTCTCTCACCCACCCCCAGATCCAGCCTCCCTTTACCTGTCTCCTTCCTCTCAACCCCTGTGGGGCTGCCCCACTCGCCCTGCCACCTCGGGCACCTCCACTTGAAAACCCACTTTTTGCCAGCCCTCCCCATAAGAATGCAGACTCATGTCATTCCTCCTAAAGAGGGCATTTTGCCTGTCAGTTTTCATTTCTGAACACTTATTTGTCATGCAAAAGCCGTGAGTGTCTGAGCTGCTTAATTACTTCATTAAATGCATTACTCATTTAAGAAAAATGCCAATCTTTTCCTTTCCTCAAGAATGGAAACTGAAAACATACAATAAAGTTATGTACAACAGCATTTTTAATGTTCTTGGCATTGTTTTGAAAATAAACGATACCTTGTCTGTAGCTTTCTAAGTATACTGTCCACAGTGTGCTACCCATCAGTTCCTCCTGCTCTCCTGCTCCTTTTATAAAAATAAAATTCCTGTCTCAGCCTTTCACTAGGGATTGTTTTCTATATGTGGATACATTTTCCTGTTTTCTAGTGCATTTGTATGGTTACACAATGTTTACCAATTAGTTTGTTTAATTACACTAGTCAGCAACGGATAGACCATCCAAGTGAGTAGCTAACATTGTTTCATCTCTTCGTGTCAAACCTCGGACTTTCACTTAATAAAGAGCCATGCCTTCAAGCCAACATGTCTCACCATGAAGAACCCTTTGTGTCAACACTGTGCAAAGGGACTGCATATTGTTTAAAGTCATTGGAATACCCGGATGTTTCCTCATTAGAAATGAGAAAGCAGAGAATCAGTGTGGCAGCTAGCATTGCTTTGATTAATAGGCACTGGTTGATAGGCTTCAGGTACAGGGGAAAAAAAGCAGGATTTTTTATTTAAAGCACTCAATTGGTGCTGAATAGCCCTGCTCACTTCCCAGTGTCGCGCATCACAAAGAAAGGTCGTGGCTTCTTCAAAGCTTCATCTCTGATGGCAGAAAGACTTGATGTTCGGCATTCAGCCTTCTGACCACAGAAAAAGCTTCTGCATTTGGCGATTATACTGTAAGTCAAAGGCAGACTTTCTGCTAAGTTGAACATTTAGTCTGCCTGTAATTCTCTGACAAGGTCACTTTGTTCTTTAACGAAGAATCACCTCCAAACCAATGAAGAGAAGAAGAAAAAAGGCCTCACCCAGGCAGGTGCACATGGTAGGAACAGACAAAGAATCACCTCCAAACCAGTGAAGAGAAGGAGAAAAAAGTCCTCCTCCAGGCAGGTGCATGTGGTAGGAACCGAGAGGCAGCTGCTTTCTTGTCTGAGCTGTCATGTTGGAGAAAGGGAGGGGACGGGGGGAGATTGGGATCTTGTCCTTCCTATTTGTAGTCATGTTTCGAATTGAAGAGGATTTCCCAGGATGCATTGGTATCTTAGAAAGATTCATCCCTGTAGCCCAGAGTGATTAGAAATGTCTCCTTGGGTAGTTGATGTTTTCCAGTTTCTTTTACAGAAAACTCTGTTCGTCTTTTCTCTCAATTTCAAGAGTGTTGTGATTGTGGAGACAAGTTTACCTCCCCAAAATTTGATTTTCGTAGCCTCCAGAGAATCTTCAGAAGGAAACCACTGGAGGTTAACTGACACCCCGGCACTGGGAATAACTGATGACATGTGATGTTAATTCCCTGGTTAGTGGATATAATCGTATCTTGATACTGTTTACATTTCACGAAGATCTGCGTTGCAACGAGGCAATCCCATGAAAGGTCTCCATGGCCTGGAGTTCTTGGACAGACTGCATTTCAGCTCCTAGGAATCCAGTGGCCCAAACTGCTCCCTAAGGGAACGTGTATGAGTTTCTCATGGCTGCTGTAACAAATTACCTCAAACGTGATGGCTTAAGACAACACACTTTCTTGTTTCTTCTTACAATTCTAAAGGCCAAAAGTCCAGAATGAGCTTTACTGAGCTGAAGCCAAGGGATTTGTGCTGCCGGTTCCCTGTGCAGGCTCCAGGGTAGAATCTGTCTTTGGCCTTTCCAGGTTCCAGATGCCACATGTGCTCTTTGGCTCATGGTCCCTTCTTCTGTCTTCAAAGCCAGTAGCGTGGCATCTTCGACCCCCTTCCACCTCCTCCCACTGCTCACATCCACTCATCGCCTTCTCTGCCCTTGACCCTGCTGCCTCCCTCTTAGAAGGGCCCCTGTGAGGACACCAGGGTCCCCCAGATAATCCAGGATGGTCTTTCCCAGCATCTTCTAAATGTTTTAACCACATATTGGTATGGCCAGTTTTGAGCAGAGGCAACCGCTGGAAGCCTTCTGGTGAGTGTTTGGTCCGCCTCTTGGGCTGTGTGACTCCCTAGTGGGTTTGCAATGGCTATTAGGGAGGGGCTGCTCCAAGCATTGCAAGATGTTTTCCACCTGGTGCCAGCAGTGGTTTGGCATCCGCAGAGGAGATGAGGGGATGACTATGGTCGAACTGCTGAAGAGACAAGTAAATGTGGGTAGCACTGTTGGCAAAAATAAAAATAGCCCAGTGAGTACTGCATTACAAGGTTGGTTCTGTGCAGTGGACTGCAACGTCCTGGCCCAGGCTACTCCCCAGAATAGACAGAAACAAGCTATGAAGAGCCAGAAGGCCAAGCGGTAGCCTGCATAGGGTGCCACACCCCAGGGGCCTGGGGACCTAGACCTTCATAGTCACAGTGTGGACAGGTTACACTCCCATTCCAGGTCTTTGTGGTCAGGAACGGCTGCATTCCACTGGGGAGGGTGCTTTTGGTTGAAACCACGTTTGACTTTCCTTGGCCTCTTTCTGCCATTGCACAGATGTGGGTGTGGATCCATATCGTGGTGGTTTCTGCTTTCTGAGTCAGATCATTCCTAGTCTTACCAATGGAATCACCTTCGCAGCTGGAAATTTTGGTAAAGCTTGTGGCTTACACAGATGCCTCTCATCTGGATAAATAGTGAAGGGGTCGCAGCTCAAGGTTCACCTTCTGTGCAGCCCTGTCCCAGTGGGGCCAGGCTTGGGAGCTGAGATGGAGGACGGGTAGCTGGAAGAGGTGCGATGTAGTCCTCCTGGGCCCCATAGTGTCATGTCATTTTAAGGGCAAAGAAAGGCATTTGGGATGTAGTAAATGCATTTTGAAAAGGAGGCGTGGACCCTAATGACCAGGAGTTCGGCATAAGCATGGCCTTGTGCAGGAGGGACAGTGCTTTAGAAGATCATATGTTGTTTTATAAATAGCAGGATTTGTAGAAGTAAGTGCTCTACCAGGCCCCTCCCCTGAGGCTGCTGAGGGAGGTGAAATCTCCCTCGAATGCCTTGTTCAAGAGCCCAGTGTTTTGTGTTCTGATATAAAATGAGGGCCTTGGTCACTATCAAGAATGTCTAGACCTTGAAAGGGATAAGGAATTTCTGGTGAGTCCTGCATGGTGGCTTCAGAGGGGCTCGCCAGTGGGTGGGGAGAGTAATGTGGCCACACAGGTGCCTCCCGTGGTCAGAGCATAGTGTGTGGCCTGGAGGGATGCTGCAGCCTGTGACGTGTGTCACCACTGGAATTGTGTCCGTTGAGTATATTTGACCAGGGGCATGTTTACCCATTGAAGACACATGAACCAGTCACTCTGTTGGCACAGAAGCGAAGATGGAGGTCACTCACACTCTGCCCAGGTCTTCAGGGCAGAGGTCCTTGGATGTCCTGAGGTTTCGTGGGTTGTCTAGGATGAGGTTGGTGGCATCCGAGGTGTACTGTGTGTCAGAAACATGACTTGGTTTACCTGTCTGTATGCTGAAACGAGTTTAGAGGTGCAGAGACCAGTGAGACCTTTCTCTGTATTTGGTAACTGTGGGGCATGAAACACCCAGAGTACCCTAGAGGGTCAACTTTGATAAGAAATTGTCGTTGCCATTGGCCACCAGAATGAATGGTCCAGGGGTTGTTGAACTCTGCATAGAAGACCAAATGGGGGAATACATTGAAGGCCTGAATAGAGCAAAGGCCAAAGGAGGATGGATTTGGTTCTTTTTTCCTTGCCTGACTCCTGGAGCCGGGAATTCTCATCTTTCTTCTGCTTTTGGACAGGGATTGGCATCACAGGCTTCCCCGATGCTCAGGCCTTTGGACTTGGACTGGAACTTACACTATTGGCTTTCCTGAGTCTCCAGCTTGCAGATTTGGGGACTTCTCAACCTCCATAATTATATGAGCCAATTCTTCATAATGAATCTTTCTTCCTGTCTCTCATTATCTCTCTGTCTCTGTCTGTCTCTCTTATCTCCTATTGTTTCTGTTTCTCTGGAGAATCCTAATATAAAAGGACATTCTAGAAATAATCAACCTGTTCTATGGGAACAAGGCATCCACAAAAACTTAGCACTCAAATCACTCCCAATGCTGAATAAGTGTTTCCCCCTAAGGAAGAGAAGAATGCAAGGCTGTTGGCTCTCCCCACTCCTGTTTAATATCATGCATAAAACTTAGCTAGAGCAATAAGGAAAGAAGAAATAAAATTCCTACAGACTGGAGAGAAACTCATACAACTGTCTCTTTATGTCGAGAGTATGGTGATTTTTTTCATAGAAAATCCCATGCAATCTACAAAAATACTTCTGGAACTAATTAATGACTTTAGTAGGGCTGCAAATTTTTAAAAATCAATATACCAAAACAATTATATTTTTACATAATAGCAATGAACAAAGAAAAAATGAAACTAAATACCATTTACAATAACATTTCTTAAAAGAGAAATACTTAGGTGTAAATATAACAAAAAAATTGCAGGACCTCTATGCAGAAAATTAAAAAAAAAAACTACTGATAAAATAAACCAAAGAAGATCTAAATACACGGAACAATATACTGCGCTGACGGCTTGGAAGATGCAATAGCATTGAAGCCTCAATTCTCCCCAGATACACCTGTAGATTTAATGCAATTCCAATCAAAATAGCAGTAAGATTTTTCATGGATCATAAGCTTATTCTAAAATTTATATGGAAAGTCAGAGGACTTGAATAGTCAAAACAATCTCAAAAACAAGAACAAAGTTAAAGGACTCGTGCTAGTTTCAAGACTTCCCATAGAGCCAAAGAAACAACTATAGTGTGGTATTGGCAAAAGGATAAACACATTGATTAGTTGAACAGAATAGAGTGTCCAAAGGTAGAACCACATAAATACATTCAATTGATTTTTTTTTTTTTTTTTTTTTTGAGACAGAGTCTAGCTCTGTCGCCCAGGCTGGAGTGTGGTGTCACGATCTCGGCTCACTGCAAGCTCCACCTCCCGGGTTCACGCCATTCTCCTTCCTCAGCCTCCCAAGTAGCTGGGACTACAGGCACCCGCCACCACACCCGGCTAATTTTTTGTATTTTTAGTAGAGACGGGGTTTCACCGTGTTAGCCAGGATGGTCTCGATCTCCTGACCTCGTGATCCGCCCGCCTTGGCCTCTCAAAGTGCTGGGATTACAGGCGTGAGCCACTGCGCCCCGCCTCAGTTGATTTTCTGACAAAGATCCACAGGCAAATTATTTAGTAAATGGTGGTGGAAAGACTGGATACCCATATGTAAAAACAAACAAACAAAAAAAGAATCTTGATCTATGTATCAAAACTTACACAAAAATTGACTTAAAATAGTTCATAAACAAGATAATAAGCATATGTAAAACACAAGATTACAAGACTTCTTTAGAAATAGGAGAAAAATCTTCGTGATTTTTGTGATTTTAGGGTTGTGTAAAATGTTCTTAAATATGATACTAAAAGCATAATCCATAGAGGAAAGATTGAAAAATTAGACTTTCAAATGAAAAAGCTAATTGTCCTTCTAAAGACACAATTAGGAAAATGAAAAGATAAGAGCCAGATGGAAAGAAAAATGTTTACAAATCAAGTATCTGAAAAAAAAACTTGTTTCTAGAGTATATAAAAAAACTTTCAGAGTCAACAATATGAAAAAACATAACCCAACATTAAAAAATAGGCAAAAGATTTGAACCGACATTTCACCAAAGAGGATATATGGATGGCCAAAAAACAGAGTAGAAAGAAGCCAACATCTTTAATCCTAAAGAAACTGTAAATGAACACCGCAAGACACCACGCTACAGCTCTTACAATGAAAAAAAACCCTGACATGAGCAAGTGCTGGGGTAGATGTTGAACAGCCAAATGTTGCCGACGAAAATGCAAAATGGCACAGCCTCTATGAAAACAGTGGGTGGCCCTTTAAATTTAAATGCCAAACGTTCACTTAATATAACCTCTAGCAATACCATTTCTAGGCATTTACCAAAGTGAAATTTTAAAAGCTGACACATGAATATTTATAATTTCATAATTTCCAAAAACTGGAAAGAATTCAAGTGTTCCTCAGCTGGGGAATAGATAGCGAATGTGGATACGAACCATCCAAGCCACAGAGCAGTCCTCATAAGAAGGAATAAACTGCAGCAACAGGGATGGGCCTCACATCCATTAGCTAAGCAGAGAAGCCAGCCTCCAACATCTGCAGACTCCGACTGCATTTACAACATTCTCAAAAAGGCAAATTACAGGGACAAAGACTATGTTAGCGGTTGCCAAGGGCTCAAGGGAGAGGACAACTAGTATTCTCAACTGTTCTCCATATTTCTTAGTGAGAATTCTTAATACAAGTTCATCAAAGGGAAAATCTGGTTCACTCGGCCAACCTTTCAAGTAAGGCCATCAGGACCAGCTCCCCCTAGGTAACTGGTCAGCCAGATACACACAGAGCAGCTCCCTACTCTGTCTGAGACATACAGAATATAAGTGAAATTACTGACAAAAGATAATCAAAGAAAGCACAATTCATATTGCAAATGAAATTAAGATAAAAAGCCAAAGAAATTGTTAATAAGATGTAAGCAAAACCAAACAGAAAAGATGATCTATCAATTATGAATTGACATGGATTATATTACATTTTAAACTCAAAAAATCTCATATTGAGAAAAACTACAAATAAAGCAAGCTTGTAGAAATTCCTCCAAGTCCACCTACCCAATGCCCACAAAACGCAAAGCTGAAATACAAGACATGGAGAATTAAAACTTAAAGAACAGGCAAGTTAAAACAATCAAATGCAAACCAATAGGAAAGAAGTTTGCAATATTACTATTGGAAAAAATAGAATTCAAGATTCAATGTATTAATCAGTACTTAAAAAGTCATTGTTTTATTGATAAAACATATCATGTACAAGTAAGGATGTAACTAAGACCATGAGTCGTGATTCTCTCTCTCTCTCTCACACACACACACACACACACACACACACACACTGCCTCATTCTCTCTTTGACCAAAAATATAAATGTGCCCAATAGTAGTAAAACACTTTAACACATCTCTCAATCAAGTAGGTAAGATGAAAACAGAAATTGAGGGTAGGGTCAGCAAACTACAACCCCCAAGCCAAATGCAGCTCATGGTAATAGATATTTATTCTGCACATGTGGAGAATGTTTGATCTCCCTTCCTAGAAACCATCTATCAGGCCACACAGAAGATCTCAGCAAATTCCAAAAAGATAAATTATGTGGGCTACGTTTTCCTAGCCACATGCAACAGAACTAAAAATTTATAACAAAAAGCACACACCAAAAAATATTCAACAATTGGAAATTCTAAAAACTTTTCTAAACACACCAAAAAGTTACATTGTTGTTTTGATATTACTATAATTAATATCAACACATAAAGATGTAAATATGAAAATAAAGAGAACAAGAAAAAGTTGTCAAGATTTTTAAATACACATAAATGGAGGCACCACCTCAATATTTATCCTGAGGTGAAAAGCAAAAATTTGATCAAAGACTTAGTTTTAGGGCACTTCACTGTAGTTTTGTTTGTAAAAGAAAAAATAAGAAGCCTAGATATGAAACACTAGATTGTATTCATTATGGTAAATGCATACAAAGGACACTGGATCATGTATCCATCAACAACTTAGGAATGTGATCAAAAATTTTGATTAACTAGAAAAGCAGGCTCCCAAACAACAATAACGTGATTCTAGGTAGTTTTAAATTTTCCTATTGAAGTGTCCCTATCTCTAATTGCCTTACTTCTATAATTACATGAAAGCCATCAATATATTTTATTAAAAACCTTACCCTACTTCTTCAGAAATGAGCACAGGAGAAAATAAGATATAATTCATAATATCATAATAATATGATACAATTCTCAGCACATAAAATACAACAAATTCTATTTGAATAGCATATTTTCTTATTCATAAATTTAATGCCATGTTCATGTACTATGCCTTACATTTGCAAGTATAGTCAGTGCTAAAAAATGTTTCAGCAACAAAGTAAGCTATATTCCATCTAATACAAACTTGATACATTTCTTTGGATACTGAAGAATCACCTACTCTCAGGAATAAGTGTCAGTCACTCCAAATCAGCAGTTCACTGATGTCTTCTCTAGAGTTTGGCTCCCCACATGCAGAGACCTGTTTGTGGTGCAGAGGAGAGGAGATTTCTGTGGTCAAAAAGCTGAGACACTGAATTAATTTGGTCTCTTTACTACAGTATGTCTCTAAATCTTAACAGGCTGATCATATATCCTCTATATCTCCAAGAGAGGCTGTAGGTTTCAGGCATACTCAAAGCTTTTAGGTATTGCTTGATTTTTGGTTTTGCATTTGTTTTTAATCCTAGAATTGTTTTTTATGAAGCATCTGACGACACCATTACTAATACCATTAGTATTCTGCCAAACATGCTTTGGCAAACTCAGCAATAAACAAGCAATTTGGGCTTCTAAAAATGCAAAAAGATTTTTTGGCAGCTTCAAAATTGTTAGATGCTTTCCTGTTTGATGTAGTCCCGCTTGCTTATTTTTGCTTTTGTTGCCTAACTTTTGGTATAATATGCAAAAATCATTGCCAATGCCAATAGCAAGGAGACTTCCCCTTCTGTTTCCTCCTAAGAAATTTCATCGTTGCAGTTCTTACATTTAAGTCTTTAAGTCATTTTTGAGTTGACTTTTGTGTCTGGCGTGAGATGAGGTCCAGCTTTATTCTTTTGCATGTGGATATCTAGTTTTCCCAATACCACTTATTAAAGAGACAGTCTTCTCCCCATTGTGTCTTCTTGGTGGCATTGTCAAAAATTACTTGACCATATATATTATATGGGTTTATTACTGAGCTCTTTGTTCTGTTCTATCTATCCATCTGTCTGCTTTAACGCCAGTACCACACTGTTCTGACTACTATAGCTTTGTAACCTAATTCTAAATTAGTAAGTGTGGTCCCACCATCTTTCTTTTTCTTTCTCAAAATTTTTTTGGATCCTCGGGGTCTTTTGTGGTTGCATACAAATTTTAGAATTTTTTTCTATTTCTGTGAAAAATGCTGAAATGAAATGTTGGAATTCCGATAGGAATTGCATTGACTCGTCTATCACTTTGGGTAGCATGGGCATTATAACAATATTAATTCTTCCAACCAAGATATAACAATGGTCAACAAGTATATGAAAAGGTGTTCAACATCGCTAACCATCAAGGAAATGCAAATCAAAAGCACAATGAAATAGCACCTCCCACCTGCCAGGATGACTACTGCCAAAAAGACAAGAGATAACAAATATTGGTGAGAACGTCGAGAAAGGGGTATTCTTGTGCATGTTGGTGGAAATGAAAATTGGTAGAGCTATTATGGAAAACAGCATGTAGCTTCCTCAAAAAAAGTAATGATAGAGCCACTGTGTAACCCAACAATCCCACTTCTGATATATTCCCAAAGGACATGAAATCAGCACCTCATAGAGATGGCTGCCAGTCCCCATGTTCACTGCAGCAGTTTTCACGATAGCCAAGATATGAAATCAATCTATTTGTCCCTGGACAGATGAATGGATAAAGAAACTATGGTATATACATGCAATTGGATATTATTCCGCCTTAAAAAAAAGAGACCCTGCCTTCAACATACACAAATCAATAAATGTAATCCAGCATATAAACAGAACCAACGACAAAAACCACATGATTATCGCAACAGATGCAGAAAAGGCCTTTGACAAAATTCAACAACCCTTCATGCTAAAAACTCTCAATAAATTAGGTATTGATGGGATGTATCTCAAAATAATAAGAGCTACGTATGACAAACCCACAGCCAGTATAATACTGAATGGGCAAAAACTGGAGGCATTCCCTTTGAAAATTGGCACAAGACAGGGATGCCCTCTCTCACCACTCCTATTCAACATAGTGTTGGAAGTTCTGGACAGGGCAATCAGGCAGGAGAAGGAAATAAAGGGTATTCAATTAGGAAAAGAGGAAGTCAAATTGTCCCTGTTTGCAGATAACATGATTGTATATCCAGAAATCCCCATCGTCTCAGCCTAAAATCTCCTTAAGCTGATAAGCAACTTCAGCAAAGTCTCAGGATACAAAATCAATGTGCAAAAATCACAAGCATTCTTATCAACCAATAACAGACAAACAGAGAGCCAAATCGTGAGTGAACTCCCATTCACAATTGCTTCAAAGAGAATAAAATACCTAGGAATCCAACTTACAAGGGATGTGAAGGACCTCTTTAAGGAGAACTACAAACCACTGCTCAATGAAATTAAAGAGGATACAAACAAATGGAAGAACATTCCATGCTCATGGGTAGGAAGAATCAATATCATGAAAATGGCCATACTGCCCAAGGTAATTTGTAGATTCAATGCCATCCCCATCAAGCTACCAATGACTTTCTTCACAGAATTGGAAAAAACTACTTTAAAGTTCATATGGAACCAAAAAAGAGCCCGCATCACCAAGTCAATCCTAAGCCAAAAGAACAAAGCTGGAGGCATCATGCTACCTGACTTCAAACTATACTACAAGGCTACAGTAACCAAAACAGCATGGTACTAGTACCAAAACAGAGATATAGACCAATGAAACAGAATACAGCTCTCAGAAATAATGCCACATATCTACAACTATCTGATCTTCGACAAACCTGACAAAAAAAAGAAATGGGGAAAGGATTCCCTATTTAATAAATGGTGCTGGGAAAACTGGCTAGCCATATGTAGAAAGCTGAAACTGGATCCCTTCTTTATACCTTATACAAAAATTAATTCAAGATGGATTAAAGACTTAAATGTTAGACCTAAAACCATAAAAACCCTGGAAGAAAACCTAGGCAATACCATTCAGGACATAGGCATGGGCAAGGACTTCATGTCTAAAACACCAAAAGCAATGGCAACAAAAGCCACAATAGACAAATGGGATCTAATTAAACTAAAGAGCTTCTGCACAGCAAAAGAAACTACCATCAGCGTGAACAGGCAACCTACAGCATGGGAGAAAATTTTTGCAATCTACTCATCTGACAAAGGGCTAATATCCAGAATCTACAATGAACTCAAACAAATTTACAAGAAAAAAACAAACAACCCCATCAAAAAGCGGGCAAAGGATATGAACAGACACTTCTCAAAACAAGACATTTATGCAGCCAAAAGACACATGAAAAGATGCTCGTCATCACTGGCCATCAGATAAATGCAAATCAAAACCACAATGAGATACCGTCTCACACCAGTTAGAATGGCGATCATTAAAAAGTCAGGAAATAACAGGTGCTGGAGAAGATGTGGAGAAATAGCAACACTTCTACACTGTTAGTGGGACTGTAAACTGGTTCAACCATTGTGGAAGTCAGTGTGGCAATTCCTCAGGGATCTAGAACTAGAAATACCATTTGACCCAGCCATCCCATTACTGGGTATATACCCAAGGGATTATAAATCATACTGCTATAAAGACACATGCACACGTGTGTTTATTGCAGCACTATTCACAATAGCAAAGACTTGGAACCAACCCAAATGTCCAACAATGATAGACTGGATTAAGAAAATGTGGCACATATACACCATGGAATACTATGCAGCCATAAAAAAATGATGAGTTCATGTCCTTTGTAGGGACATGGATGAAGCTGGAAACCATCATTCTCAGCAAACTATCACAAGGACAAAAAACCAAACACTGCATGTTCTCACTCATAGGTGGGAATTGAACAATGAGAACACATGGACACAGGAAGGGGAACATCACAAACTGGGGCCTGTTGTGGGGTGGGGGGAGGAGGGAGGGATAGCATTAGGAGATATACCTAATGTTAAATGACGAGTTACTGGGTGCAGCACACCAACATGGCACATGTATACATATGTAACAAACCTGCACGTTGTGCACATGTACCCTAAAACTTAAAGCATAATAAATAAAAAAGAGACTCTGCCATTTGTGACAACATGGATGAACCCTAGAAGATATTATGCTAGGTGAAATAAGCCAGACACAGACAGAAAAATATGCATGATCTCACTTACATGGGGAATCTTTAAAAAAGTCAAATATATAGAAAGAGAAAACAGTGTTTACCAAAGGCAGAAAAGGGGAAGAAATGAAGACACGTAGGTTAAAAGGTACAAAGTGACAATTATGTAGGATGAATAGGACCAGAGATCTAATGTGCAGCATCAGGATTCTAAAATTAATATATTGCATTATACAATTATAATAGTTAGAATAACATAATATGTTAATAATTATAATAAAATTATAACAACTATAATTATTATATTTAATAATAGTGTAGTGTGTACCAAAAAATTGCTAAGAGAAGATTTTGGTGCTGTTATCACACACACAAAACTACCATATCTATGGCTATGGAAGGTGATGGGTATGTTAATTTTCTGGACTATGTAATCATTTCACGATGTATCTGTATACTAAAACAATATATATACTTTTTTTAAGTCTCACTGGGCTTTATGAGCTCATGTGCCCTAGGCTACAATTTATTGCACCAATGGCCTAACATGTGTATGGTAAGAAAAGCACTCAAAGCACACTAAAGAAGTGAAAAGATTCCTCTTGTGGACCACAGCCTGCAGTGCTTTCATGAGAAGGCTGGAAATGCAGATTCCACTCGTACGAGATGAACTATTTTGATTTAAATCAACCCTGTGTATTCAGAGCTGCTACATCACTGGTGGGCACCCAGGTGCCGCAATGCTCACTCACATTTGTGGCTGGACATTTCTTTAGTCACAACCTGGCACTCAGTTTTCGAAGGAGTGATGTGCACCAGGGGGCAGCCAGCTTTTTCAGTAAAGAGCCAAACAGTAAGTCCTCTAGGTCCTGTGGGTCACACGGTCCCCCTCAGGGTTCTCCAAACTCACCACTGTGGCACCAAAGCACAGGGGAGCAGCTGTGTTCCAGTAACATCTCACTCAGGGACACTGAGATCGGGATTTCCCAGAATTCTCATGTGTCTCGAAATCTTCTTTTAATTTTTTCCAGCAAATGAACATGTAAAGATCATTCTTAGCCCCATAGCCAGCATCTGGCCCTCAGGTTGTTGTAGGATGTGAGCCTCTGGTGGACACTACTACTGTTTCTTGGGAACATTTTCTCTATCACATTCCAGTTTCCCATAACGACTTTTCTGCTATTCAGTATGTGTTATTCAAGATAAAACTTGACATTGTAATCATCATTTCTAATACACTATTCATCGCACCTGCTTTGTGTCTTTAATTGCTAGTTCTGCACCGTGAAGACGGTTTTCATGCGAATTGTTCCACGTTTCTCACCAATTTAAAACTCACGGTGCTTTGGCTGTGGTGCTGTTTTGTTTTATTTTGTTAAATTTAATGGCCAAGTGTTTTGAGCAGGAGATTAAAAAAAAAAAGATAGTTCTTCTAAGTGCTATGGTCATAGCAAAACTCTTTCTGGGATCATCACTGTTGTCCATCAATTGATCTTAACTTTGAATGAGACATAAGATCATGACCTGCTTGCATTATTAATGGAATCCCAAACACATAGAATTTTTCCTGACAACTTATTTTTATAAAAATAATATTTGTTTATTAAAATAAGCCATTTTTGAAAAAAAATCTGCCGTTCCTAGGTACCTAAGACTTCCCAAAGGCATTCAGAGTAGATGTGTTCTTTTACGCTGTGTTGTGCTTTTCACTTCACTTCAAATGCACACGTTCAGTTATGGATACAGCCACATGTTTGACTGTTTGTGGGTGCTGTGGCAGTCCACTCTATTATCAGGACATAGGTTGTTGAAACATGCCATTTGCTTGGTTATTCGGGGAGATTCCCAAGTTCTTCCTCTTACACAATGTCACTGAAGTTATATTTGTCCAATTTCAAAGGGAGTTATTTCCTTGAGATTCATTCCCCAAAGTTGAATTTCAAATCAAGAAGCACTAGCAGCGCTATTTTTATTGGATATTGCCACATGCAAAGTATTTCAAAATAGTCCCCACAACCTTGGATTTTATCTTTTTAGTGCACTTGCACTGTGTGAGCGTGTATGGCACAGTAACAGGTTTTAATCTGCATTTTCTAATTTAGCTGCACTTCTCTTCAGTGGATGATTTTTTGTTTGTACTCACTTACATTGTCTGTGATATCGTGAAAGTCCTCTCGGCAGTTGGCAGTGTTGCTGAGAACACATGGAAACACTTCTGAAAGAATTTATTGGGAAAATATATTTCCAGTGCCCAGGATTTTGGAACAGAGATGCTCCTTCTCTGCTGCCAGAGACGATTTCAACTCCAGATTTGGAATTTCCATTTGAAGAGCCCATTCCTCCCACCTTCATCCAACCTGCCGAGGACACACCGGATGTCATTGCAGCAAGCCAGCTTGCTGTCACCATGCTGTTCGCACAGCTCCTAAGCCGTTCACCACCACCCCGTGTGACATGCTTCCCCGATGCCCTGGCACGTGCTCCCTTGGCAAGTGTTTATTGAGTACTCGCTACAGGAGGTGCTCTAAATGTGAACAAGAGAGATGTGGCTCCAACTCTATTAAGCTTCAGTTCCTGGGAGAGGGACTTATTAAGCCATTATTTGTACATTTAAAAATTTCCATGACCTCAGTGCAGAGGGGTCTGTGGCAAATAATGCTGTAGCATAGAATATTCACTTAATCAAGTTTAGATTTGACACAGCCTGTGGGGTGCCAATGGTCACTCTGAGTCCTTGTCTTCCCCTCGGCACTGCACACACCTTTCTTCCCGAAACACCTTCCTCACTTGGCTATGCGATGTCACATGCTCCTGGCATATGTCCTACAACACAGCTGTTCACTCCTCTTTCAACCCACTCAACACTGGAGCGCTCTGGGCTCGTTCTTCATCCCTCTGATTCGTCGACACTCAATTTGGATGACCCAAGATTCTAAATGCAATTTATTCCTGATTTGATGACACTCACAATTGTATCTCCAGTCCCAACTTTTCTGCTAAATTCCATGTTCACGTATTTCCACTCTCTACTTGATAATCTCCATTCGGATGTCCAAAAAGCACTTCCGATTTTAAAATGTCCAAAGAATAGCTTTGATTCCTCATTCCCCAGCCTCCATTCTACATAAATCAGTCCCATTTCAGTAGCTCAGATAAAAATCCTGAGAGTTATCTTGTGTTTCTCTTTTACTTCTACCTCTCACAGCCAATCCTGTTGACTCTAACTTCAAGTTACATCCCAAATAAACCGCTTTTCACGCCCAGATCACACCACTAAATCCATGCCACTATCATGTATCATTTGCCTAAAATAAAAGTTTCCTAACAGGGTTCTGCCCTTCCATGGTCTACCCTCTACACAGCAACTGGAGCAAACTTTCAAAATCTCCAACCTGAGTGTGCACTCGGAGTGAAATCCAGACTCCCCGTGACAGCCCTGCGGAGTGAGCCCTGACTCCCTGGGTGCAGATCCCATCGGCCTTCCTGCCACATCAGGACCAGGCCTGACCACGGGGCTTGCCTCTCCTGCTCCTTGGCGATGAGGGAAGTGCTGCATGGTTGCTTCGAGTCCGTCTGATCCAGCAAATCTGTACCTCTACATCTCTGAACGTTTGATCTCTTGTTGACCTAACAGGAAAAGCTGAATCTACACTCCCAGGCTGCAGTACTAAGGCTTGGCCCAAATTGCGTAAGTAGAGAGCTGATTTGAGCCAAACCTTAGTACTGCAGCCTGGGAGCACAGATTCAAGGTGCCCTGAACGTACACTCTCATTAGCAGCAGTAACAAGTGGATTTTTAAAGGGAAAGAAGAGGCAGTTTCTGAGTTGTTTACCAAGAATTTACCTTAAAATAACATAAGCTGTTGATTGGCTAGACATTGTTAAGCTTCAGAGTATGGATTAGAGTGTCCAGTGTCCAGTGCAGCATTATTCAGTTAATTTATAACTGCTCGCAGTGCAAGCAGTTTCAGGAGAACGCACAGCTCAAAGTCGGGGGAGCAGGACGCGATTACCAGCTTATTTTAATGCCTCTCTGGGCCTGATCATTTAAAAGGACTTGCGTCGCACAGATAAATGTTCTAGTCTTTCCTCACTCTTTTATTTGGAATAAACACAGCTGTTCACTTCTGATAACGGCTGTGTCATTTGTACAGGACTAACCCTTCTGCAGGTAACAACGATAAACTCAGAATGAAATACAGAAAACAACCATGGAAGGCACTGGAGAGAGATAAGGGACAGGCAGATGTGGGAGGTGAGTCACTCCCTGAAAAAAGGAGCTCCTCCTCCCCAGCACACGTGTGCGCGTGCACGTGCAGGGCAGCTAGGACTCAGGAGTCGACTGACCTTCAGACTCCAGAGGTCAGAGGATGGAGGGCAGGGCTGGCAGAGGTACCAGAAAGTGAGGGGGTGGATCTCTCAGAAGGAGGAAGCCGCAGAACACGGAACAGGAGCCAGAAAATTCTGTGTGTATGAATACACCATACATATGCATCTGTGTGTATACATATACCTACATGTATATCATGTATGCTTATGTGTGTATACATATATAAAGATATATATACACACATTAAATATATTTAGTATACTAAATATTGCTAAATATCAAATAATAATTATGTTTATGCTTTTAATAATTTAATACAATAAGTAGTTTAATACAATAATGTTTATTGTATTAAATTATTAATTATTGTATAAATTGTTAATACGATAAACATTATTGTGTTAAACATTAATCAATATATTAAATATATTAACTACTGGTTAATTTATCTGATATATTAAATATATTTATTATTGGTTAATTGATATATTTAATCTATTAACTACATTTGTTAATAATATATTTAGTACGCAAAATGTTTAATATAGTAAATATATTTACACACATAATAAACAAATGTATGTACTGTCTAAAATGCTGACAATAACATTTTTGTAAGGTTGTCTTTGAGATGGCTTTCACAGCAGTCTACAGAAGTGTGAAGTGTTTATGTGGAAGATTGCGTCCTGCCGTGCCAGGCTTTTCAAGCAGCCTTTAGTACAATCTTCTTCACAGGTTATTAATAGCTCCTTCAAGGACTGCCAAGGCTTAAATAATAGCAGGAAACACAAGCATGTGTCTCTAGGGGAATCATAGACTACGCAGCCACACTGAGAGAGGATCACAAGCACCAGCAATCCCAGCAGAAGAACAGGTGCCCTCAGCCACATCAGGATTTCAAAACAGTCACGGGACAATTATCAGCACACTTATTGGCCTCCAGGCTGTACACATTCACAAGTGTCCATGTTTGTTGCTACTGTTTGTAGTGTCTCAAGTCAGGGTGGCACATATATCAATCTCATATTGACCAGAATCTTTGTGCAGCAGTGTTCCATGGTGCATGGGCAGCAACATGCTCCAAAGAGTGAGTTTAGTATTTTACTTTATATTAGCTATATTTGGGGTGGTGAGTTGGACCAGCCAGAAAAAAGCGTCTTGTAAGAGGGATACCACATTGCCACCTTCCCAGAAATTCCCAATCCTGATATGCTTTGGAAGTTTAAATTTTTTTTAATTGAATACTCTGCTCATGTTATCAAACCAAACCGGGGTCAGCTCTCCCATGCAGTTAGACCAGATGTCCACACTAAGGCTTGCAGTGGAGAAAGGGAGGTGTTTATTTGCAGGGCGCCGAGCACGGGGGACCATGAGGCTAGTGCTTAAGTTCTGACCCTCCAATACCTTGCAGGAAAGGGTTTTTTAAAGGCAAAGGTAAAATTCAGAAAAGCAGAAATTACAGGGAAAATAGTAAATCAACATATGAAGGTTACACACTGGTTTTGGTCTAAAAGGGTGAATTATCTTGAGGCGGGGGCTTACAGGTCATAGGTGGATTCAAAGATTTTCTGATTTGCAACTGGTTAAAGAAGAGAAAATCTGTTTAAAAGCTGGGGTCAGCAGAAAGGAACCTTAGCTCTGGCTCACCAGGGGGACCTCCTCTAGACCCCTCAGGAGGAAATTTAGAACAAAGAGCAGTGGTCCGAGTTCAGTCTCAGCTTCCCTTTATCCGAGGTCTATGTGCCAGTAGATCTGTTTGGTGGGGGGCCAGGCTCCCCCAAAACAACTCAGGGACATATATGAGGATGTTATCTTTAGCTTCCCGCGACTCGAGCTTCCTTGGCAATTGTTTTAAGCTACTATTACCTTCTTGCTTATAACATTGCTTATTTACTTCTCAGGAAAGAACTCAAGGTTTTCCTGTATTTCCATGTGCAGAGGGACCCGCAGGCCCTTAAGAAGGGCCTGCTGCATCTCGTTCATAAGCACACGTATATTCCTACTCTTCTCTTTTATCCCATACTGAGAAATGAAATTCCTTAGGTGATTAAGTGACAAACATATATTTAAGTAAACACATTTTTCGTAAAATTTCACTGCTGAAACAGAGAAGGAGGAAGAGGAGGAGGAGGAGGAGGAGAAATAGGAGAGGTGAATAAATGTAAATCCTAATCCTTTGTTTTACTTCTTTATCTTTTCTAAAGGGTTACGAACCTGCATGAATAGAAAACGTGGTCTTGCCTTTACTGCTAAGGCTGCCAGGTCCCTCAAAATGAGGAGAAACCAACATTTCCCCCCAAAAAAAAACCCTGAGCCACAGAGGAAAAACCTTCAGTCGTGACAAAAATAGAAAAAAAAAAAAAAAAAAGCACAGAAAATTAAAATACTCTAAAAATCTACTGGGGACAAGTGGATTTTTACTCATAAATGGATTTTTACTGAGTATCTCTGGGTTACTATCTTACTGTCCACAAAATAGACCTAGTATGCTACAACATGCATAACTCTGAGGAGTGTCCCACATATTCACACAAAGCAACTGTGAAAACTGAAAATGGCAAAAAGAACTGGTAAAATATATTAGAATTTCAAAATTATGCAAACTACCGTACCCAAGAGGGTTTGACCAGAGTTTGTATTTTAATTTAGTTTCTATTCATAATGTAATCATGTAGGTATATGCCTTACGAGCATGAGGAAGAAGTTCTTAAATGAAAGAGGGTATAATAATAAAAATATACTCAACAGAGGCTGCTGGCAAATTAAAAAAAGAAAACTAATAACGTGGTGTGCTACAGGGAAGGCAATTTAGTTACAGCCCAGTTGCAGCTCACTGTCTTGGTAGAAACCAGGCCTTTCTTTTTGTCTTGAACCATCAAATAATGATTACATGTTATTAGATCAAAATTAAATGTTAAAGTGCATTTGTCAAAAAATGAATAACACAATAAGGCAATATTTAGGGCACCTTTCTTCTAAGAATTTTAGTTTTATTCCAGTAAATGAACCATAAAGCCCTTCAATGTCAAAGCTGGAAAGAAACTTAGAAATAACCTTATTTTTCCAGTAAACTGAAGCTCCACACGGTGAGCTGGGGGCTCAGAGAGGCTTTCCTTCCACATTCTTCTCAGTATTTCAGCTAGGTTCCCAGCAAGGACCCACTGAAAGCACTGAAAAGAGAGTGCTTTTCCTAAATCCTCTCTGATGGGAACAGAGTCCTTGGTCTCAGCCTCATCTAGATCTTCCCAGGAAGGTCATCCTATGGCAACAGCTGTTGTCTATTATGAGGATTCAAACACAGAAATCACTTAAAGACCTATCCATCCATACCACAGACACACAAATTACTAAAGGAAAAAAAATCCTATTAAATTCAACCTAGAAAATAAACCCTACAACAGAAGCTGCTCTATTAAACTAATGGAATGAAAACTGGATTTTAAAGGATGGCCCTAAAATAACGCTACAGCTTTTCAAACCTGGATATTCCCCCTCTGCACCAGGCAGGATGGATTTGGGAATCCATGTGATACTAGACATGTCTGATACCCAAAGCGAACTGGGAAACTGAGTTAGGTCCCAAGTCCATGTCCCAACAGACCCCTTATTCTATCTCTGAAAATTCTAAGAATTAGAGATAAAGTCAGAAAAGCCCCCAAAACATAGCATCGCGAAATGCTGCCAAAAGCAGGTAAGGCCTGGCTTAGTCTTTTGCTTGGCAATGACACCTGTGATTAAGCAAACCAAGGTACCCAAGTCACATTGAAAAGACAAACATTCTTCTTAAAACTTGGAAAATATCCCAAGTATATTTTAAAACCTAGGTATATTTTTCCAAGCCCATCAAACTTCTTGGTTTCTTGAAATTCAAATCTGTTCAAGGAAATCATCTGTCTTCAAAGGAATTAAAAGGTGCAGCAAATCTTATCTGTATTTGAGAAAGGAATTCTGCAAGAAAAAAGTTCTCACTATAGAAATCAGAAACTCTCCTTGACAAGTTGACAAAAGGTAGACAGCCAGTTAAAAAGAGAATATAGGATTTAGGTATCATGTGATTAAATTCCCTCTAGAAAATAACTCACTGAAAAATTACCCAATTATCGGAACCTCCTATCTTTAGACACATTGGAAGTCTTTCCTCATTTAATGGTCAACATTTATTAAGCACGTATAATGAGATTTATGAAGGTTAATCGGCACTGAGATAAAAAGATAGATTCCTGTGCTCAAGGAATTTGAAGTCTACCAAAGGAAGACAGGCCAATAGTTTCGAACAGAATGGGCAAACTTTTTCCACAAAGGGTGAGATCGTGAATTTTTTCCTCTTTGCCCACCGTCTGGACTCTGCTGCATGACTCAGCTCCACTGTTGCAGTGTGAAATCAGCCATAGACAATCCATAAATGGCAGGCATGGCTGTACACCCTCAAAACTTACCACCACAGGTAATGGAGACTGTCAAGATCATAAAAAACAAGGAAACACTGAGAAACTTTCACAGACCAGAGGAGTCCGGGAGACACGATGGCCACATGTAACATGGTGGTCAGGACTGGATCCTGGAGCAGCAAGAAGACATTAGTGGAAAAACCGGTGAAATCCAAATACCACCTGGAGTTCAGCTACAGGTAACTCTGATCGCAGTTTCTTCCCTTTGACAGACGTACGCTAGTAAGGTAAGATGTCAGTAGTGAGAGAAAGGGGGTGAGGCATATATAGGAATTATCTACTCTATTTGCCACTTTTCTATACACTTAAAAATTAAAAGTTTATTTGTTTAAAAAGATAGCAAGACCGCTGAGCCAAATGTGCAGATGGCTGACTGAGATGAAATAAAATATTAAGTACACGTGGTAGAAACACGCTTGGGAGCTGAGAATAAAGCCCTGAATTCAGTGTTGACCTGCGTTGAGCTGTGCCCCAACAGTGATGCTGGAAATCCTCTGTAATTTTTAGCTTGTCCTCTTCCACCAATGTATTTTACATTAAGAAGATGGCAGGAGAATCACAGAGAAACCACTCGCATCTTGCCAGCTGTTCAAGATGAGGCTTGTGTCTTCATCTCTTTCTGCAGCCTCGCTTATCTTACAAGACAATTCTTGTGCTCGTCAAATCACTCACTGCTCAAGAATCCAGTCCTCCACCGAGACTGAACCACAATATTGTTTTTTAAATGCCAATGGCTAAAAGTTGGAAGAGAACAATGTGAATCTCCAAGCAATTTTTTTTTCTAGTTGTGCAGGCTCAACTCAACCTCTTAATGACAGCTTCTTTATTTAGGTAAAATAGTTTAATAGTTCATTTTGCATACAAGAGAAATAGAGGCTGTATTTAGGAAGAGAAAGGATTTAAACCATAGGTGCTAAACTGTGGTAGATAATTGCATAGATGGTCACTGCTCTTGCACAGGAAGTTGTATTGCTGCAGATTAAGCTTCCCTTTAGAAAATGTGGCTTGGTTTTCTCTAAGGAGACCTCAATTCCAAATATTGGGGGAAGTTGGCCAATTTCTCAACAGGGCAGAAGACAGGAGTGAGGGAGATCTTGGGGACCCTCTGGGTCTGCATGCCCTTCTTCTGGTGCAGCTCATGTCTCCTGGACTCCCTGTCTCCAGTCAAGCCCCATGAAGAGGCACCATCTGGGGGCTGTGCTCCTGCCACCCTGAGCAGACGCCAGTGCATGCCTGGGAGCAGCCAGGCTGGGGAGCAGACGCCCAGGGACCAGCCTGGGAAACAGGATGTGGACAAAGACAGAAGAAGGCATCCAATGCCAATCAGCTGGCTGAGAGGACACAGTGCAACCAGAGCAGACCTGTGGTGCATGAAGAAAACCCTGGCAAAATTCCCCGGACTACTTGGCAAAGGAAATCTAGTTAGAAGGAAGGAGGGAGAGGAAGAGAGGATAGACTGGGCATCCTAGATCCAATAGGCAGGGGCCTTAATTTATTATTATTTGCACACTAAATTGAAATGCTGAAGAAGCTTGGAGTATCAGGATTGCATGTCAATATATATATTCTTTTTCTAGTTATTATTTGTTTATTTCAGATGGAGACAAAGTATATGCAAATACATGAAAGTTACCATGCAGTGACATGAAATTATGCTTCTGAATTTGCTTTTTGTTTTCAAAAAGAGACAGATGTGATGCAACTATTAACTTCATTAACCTGAAAATGAGATAATGTCCTTTTCAGCAACATGGATGGAGCTGGAGGCCACTATCCTTAGCAAACTAATGCAGGAACACAAAACCAAATACCACTTGTTCTCGCACGTAAGTGGGAGCTAAATGATCAGAACACATAAACACATAGAGAGGAACAACAGACACTAGGCCTACTGCAGGGTGCAGGCTGGGAGGAGGGAGAAGGTCAGGAAAAATAACTAATGGATCCTAGGCTTGATAGCCGGTGAAGAAATAATCTATACAACCAACCCCCATGACAAGAGTTTATCTATGTAATGAACCTGCTCATGTACCCCCGAAATTAAAAGTTTCAAAAATATGCATATTTAAGTATAATCAATATGTTTATAATAAGTATGTGTATGCATATACACACACAGAGAGATGTCCTTTTTTTAACTTGCTAGTCTGTGTAAAGGGCCGTATTGTCTGTAGAAGCTGTGCGAGGTAAGATCCGTGAGGGCCGTGACTTTTCTGCCTTCTTCGTGGGCCTGCCCCCAACACCCAACAACAATGGGAAATAACTACTATTGAGGCAGGAAAATAGGGTCTGGAGCCAGGGAACATAAGGCAGATTCACACGTCATCTATACCAGGAAATGTTCTCTCTATAGTGCGTACGTTGTAACGGACTTTGTAGCTTTACTTCATCCTCTCCATTTACATAGGGCACACCCAAAGTCACCAACGGAATCCTCTAGAGGGTATTTATACTCCCCAAAATTCTGTGATGGGGCCTTTGAGCCTCTGTGCTCCGGCCCACTCCCACACTGTGGAGGGTACTTTCATTTTCAATAAATCCTTTCATTCCTTCCTTGCTTTGTTTGTGTGTTTTGTCGAATTCTTTGTTGAAGACGCCAAGAACCAGGACACCGTCCACCTTTAACATATTTTGGTGAGCCAGCCAGGGGGAAGAGGTAAGCCCAAAGTTTGAGATTTATTCTTCTCCTTTCTTCTTTCTGGTCCATACGGGGGAATATCTTTCTCTCTCTTTTCCTTTCCAACCAGAGACCCTTGGTGGCCACCACCTAAACATGGAAGCAACTGCAGGTTTCCGGCCATGACCAGTGAAACTAAGGGGTTTCCATGTGGAGACGCCTGACCACCACCGCCCGGTTCACTTAAGGGCCCTGGGTTTTTTCCTCTCTTTTTCAGTCTTTCAGTGGCTGCTTCCTAGTAGCTCCTTGGAAATTGAGGGCAATTGGCTGGGGTCACTCACTCCCTGGTGCTGCCTGAAGGCCTAGGAATGAATGGGAATAATTGCCCTGCCCCCCAGGGGGAAGGACATTTTTTCTTCATTAATATAGTGTCCCTCAATTTGTCCACTGTTCCAATATTGGCTTCTCCAATGTAACAAAAAACTGAATAGAATGTTTATTAAATCCTTTTTAGTCTGACTATTCTTACTTTTTAGATAAATTATTAAGATATTGGTAATTATCTGCAGCATAATATATTGCATCAAATCAGGTAAATTGGATAACTTTGAAAGTAGGATTACTGTTTTAATAGTAAATTCTGACAGAAAATTTTCTAATTTTCCTTATAAAATAATGATTACCTCACAGAATAAGCTGGAGAGTTGAAAGCATTCAAAAAGCTAATTAGACAGGCTTGGTGTCCAAGACCAGGAGGAATCTTTGCTATCTAAAGCATCTAGATTGAGGGAAAACACACCCAGGCTTTCCTTTATTGAAGAGAGACCATATGACATTCTAGAGATGGCTGCATGCAAGCATTTAAAACCTTTGAGAGGATACAGCGCACCAGGGAGACTATTATTATGACTATTGGGAGGATAATACCAAGAGTTTGGAGTATGCTCCTTACCCAATCAAACCTTATCAGAACATAACTTACCAGGTTTTACATTAAAATGTGCCATTATAACATGCAAGTAAGACTATTAGAAACAGTTTTACATGCAAGGTGTGTAAGAACAGTAGAATGTGTTTTTTTATAAAAGATTATAAAAGGTTTTTGCTTCTTTAACATTTCTGAGTCATCATTTTATCAAAATAAATAGTTTATGATACTCTGGAATTCCAAAATCAAACTTCGGTTTCAAAACTGTCTTTCCTAACACCTGGCTTTCTGGACGGATCAGAGGGCCCCTGAAAACATCCAGAAAAGAGGTAAACAGGATTATTTGATATGTTTAGGTACATGGGATTGCCAAAATGATGTTGTCTTCTTTAGGTTATTTTTTTTGTGAATAATACTAATATATGTTCCAAAATTGTATGGGATTTCTAAAATAGTATATGCTGTCAATTATAATTATGGTTATTATGTTAAGTTATTGTAAATCACAAAAATAACCAAATTTTCTTGTCAGTGCTATGCACCTAATTTGGAAAAACAACTGGTATCCAAGAGGAAGTAAGTCTAATGTTAATGAAGCATGGATTCATGGAGAACCAGGATGGCCACCTTGTCTTTCCTGAGTCCTTAAAGCTTTTATTATTAAAAGTTCTGCATTCCATGACTCATCATGGAAAAGATACAATGATCCAAATTGAATACATTGGTGTAGTGACTTACAAATTACTAAAATAGTTTATAACCAATGCTTGATCCCATATTCCTGGGAAAGCAATTAAAGCTTCAAGTACATTTGCTCACCTGGTGGGCCATTTAAACATTTTATAAAGGGATTTCATTCAATTATTATTTTCAGTGTATGTTTTCTGGTTGTATAAAATTTTCCCATGCAAGAGGGCTGATGTTATAACAGTAGATTACTATGCCACAGTATATTTTCACCTGGTAAAAAAGCTTATTATGGTTTGAATCTTCTGAGAACATCGGTGAAAGATTGTCCTTGCCATCCACATTACAACAAAACTTCAGGACCTTGGGCTTTGGGTTCATGGTCTTGCAACTGAGAAGAGTCCCTCCACACTTTTGGAACTATACACCCATTGGAACCCTTAAGGTAAAACTAACCAGGGAAATTTCTACCAAAAAGAAGATGGCATCCTTGATGTGAACAGCTTTCCCCAAGTTCACAGATTGACTTCAATATCATGAAACTCTTATCTTTGAATGCTTTCTCTTGCTTATGTCTCTATGAACAATAGAAGTGGAAAAGGCATCTGTTCTGTACACTAATGGGGTATACTTTTATTTGTGAAGGAGTTTGCAGCCAGCCTTATACCTGGATAACCTTATACTTTGATAGATAAAAGATGAAGGCCTAATGTAGGTCAGAAACTTTAATGGTACACATGTTGCTTCATAGTCAGTCAAAAACAAAACATTGGTTCACCGCTCTTAACCCACATCACGGGTTAAAGAGAACATTGCCAGGAGGCCTTCACTCTTCTAGAAAGGCATCATTTGTGAGGTCCTTTTTCCATGGTTTAAAGTAAAAGAAGCAATGATTAGAAATGTAGCCCTCATAATAAGTTCTATAGGAAATTCTACTGTAAAGTCTACAGTTACACAACAGACTTTAAATTATCTTGTGAAAATTATGCTAAATAATAGAATTGGCTGGACAGAGAAGTATCTGTGCAGCTGCTGGCACTTGTGGTCTATGGGGAAATACATCAAATGAAGATCATGGAGTGGTAGAGGATTGATGAAGAAATTGCTTAGACAAGTGAGTAAACTCTTTATCTAGCCCGTTCTTTGATCTATTTGATTTTAGGAGGTTTGGTTTATGGGGACCTTGGGTAAGGAGCATACTCCAAACTCTTGGTATTATCCTCCCAATAGTCATAATAATAGTCTCCCTGGTGCGCTGTATCCTCTCAAAGGTTTTAAATGCTTGCATGCAGCCATCTCTAGAATGTCATATGGTCTCTCTTCAATAAAGGAAAGCCTGGGTGTGTTTTCCCTCAATCTAGATGCTTTAGATAGCAAAGATTCCTCCTGGTCTTGGACACCAAGCCTGTCTAATTAGCTTTTTGAATGCTTTCAACTCTCCAGCTTATTCTGTGAGGTAATCATTATTTTATAAGGAAAATTAGAAAATTTTCTGTCAGAATTTACTATTAAAACAGTAATCCTACTTTCAAAGTTATCCAATTTACCTGATTTGGTGCAATATATTATGCTGCAGATAATTACCAATATCTTAATAATTTATCTAAAAAGTAAGAATAGTCAGACTAAAAAGGATTTAATATACATTCTAATTCTATTAAGTTTTTTGTTACATTGGAGAAGCCAATGTTGGAACAGTGGACAAATTGAGGGACACTATGTTAATGAAGAAAGTAATTTTTCCTTCTGTTAATAGACTTTGCTAAGCTGATTTTTACCCAAAATCTTCTTTGGAGAAACAATGCACAGAGCAATCCAAGCTTTGGTGATGACCTGGGAGCCTCTGTGGCTCCAGACAACTCTCTTAACCTGGGGAAGCTCTACTTCCTTCATCTAAAAACTAAGACACTTTGATTGTATGATGTCTGAAGTCTGATTTGGCTAAGCTCCTCCACCTTTCTGTCATTATTTAGTTCCTTCAAATGAGTCAAACATCAGCAATGAAGCACGTCTACTGTAAAAATAGGAATAATATCACCATCCTATTCTAATGCAAAGCCACACATGAGAATCCTTTTATTTTTCAGGAAAACAGCTTTTGATTGAAAGGTCTTGATAGAAGCTTTCTGTTATCAAAAACAATGCTGAGTGGATACAGCTGGAGCAATTTCAAAAGAAACTGGTTTCTGGTGACAGCGATTCCTCCACACCCTGCTCCCCAGTTCCAGGAGGGTATTGGGGCCTCAGCTCACCGCATCACCAAGCTGAGACCTGGGTGATGACTGTCACAGAACAGGATGCCAAAGGTGGAGTGGCAGAAAATGGTTCCTCACATTTGTGGAAATATACCTAAAACTCCACCTTCCTCACATTATGTAATCAGTGAGATTATGTTAGTGTTATACATGGCATCAAAGGAGCCCTATAACACCATCAAGTTTTCAAAAGCTTTTCTCCCAGTTAACTCTGGAAGAGAGAAATTTACATATGAGAAATAGCAAAAGTTTTGGCCGGGAAATCAAAAAATCTTTCCAAATGCTCCACTTAGAATTATGTCATTTAATTTATTATTTATTTAAAATTCCAGTAGCTTTAGGGGTACAATTAGTTTTTGGCTACGTGAAGGAACTTTATAGTGAAGTCTAGGCTTTTAGTGTGCCTGTCACCCAAATAGTACACATTGTACCCAATAGCGATTTTTCATCTCCAACCCCCTCTCAGCCTCCCTGTTCTGAGTCTCCAGTGTCCATTATCCCATTCCATATGCCTTTATTTGCCCATAGCTTAGCTGCCACTTATCAGTGAGAACATGCTGTATTTGGTTTTCCATTTCTGACTTAATTCACTTAGGATAATGGCCTCCAATACCAACCAAGTAGCTGCAAAAGACATGATTTCATTCTTTTTTACAGCTGAGTCATATTCCACGATGTATAAATACATTTTCTTTATCCACTCTGGTTGATGGGCACTTAGGTTGATCCAAATCTTTGCAACTGTGAATTGTGCTGCAATAAACCAATGCATGCAGGTGACTTTTTGATATCATGACTGTATTAGTCAGGGTTCTCTAGAGGGACAGAACTAGTAGGATGTAAATATGAAGGGGAGTTTATTAGGAGAATTGACTCACATGATCACAAGTCCCGCAATAGGCTCTCTGCAAGCTGAGGTGCAAGGAAGCCAGTCCGGGTCCCAAAATCTCAAAAGTAGGGAAGCCTATGGTGCAGTATTCAGTCTGTGGCTGAAGGTCTGAGAGCTCCTGGCAAACCACTGCTGTAAGTCGGAGAGTCCAAAAGCTGAAGAATTTGGAGGGCAGGAAGAACCCAGCAGGGAAAGAAAGATGAGGCCCAGAAGACTCAGCGAGTTGGCTTCTCCCACCTTCTTCTGCCTGTTTTATTCTAACTGTGCTGGCAGCTGATTAGATGGTGCCTACCCAGATTGAGGGTGGGTCTGCCTCTCCCAGTCCACTGAGTCAAATGTTAATCTCCTTTGGCAACACCCTCATGGACACACCCAGGAACAATCCTTTGCATCCTTCAGTCCAATCAAGTTGACACTCAGTATTAACCATCACAGTGACTTCTTTTCCTCTGGGTAGATGCCCAGTGGTGGGATTGCTGGACTGAATGCTAGATCTACTTTTAGTTCTTTGAGAAATCTCCATACTGTTTTCCATGGAGGTTGTACTAATTTACATTTCCACCAGCAGTGTATACGTGTTCCCTTTTCACCACCTCATGCCAGCATCTTTTTTTTTTTTTTTACTTTAATACTGGCCATTCTGGCTAAAGGAAGGTGGTGTCCCCCACTGTGGTTTTAATTTTCATTTCTCTGATGATTGGTGATATTAGGCATTTTTTTCATATGTTTCTTGGCCATTTATATATCTTCTTTCAAGAAATGTCTGTTCATCTCATTTGCTCACTTTTTAATGAGAACTCAAATCAATCCGCAAGAAAAAAAAGCACAAATAATTATCTCATGAGATTTGGTCTCATGAAAAACCACACTTGAGAACCCAAGTAGAATAGACAAAAACACATGATCTAATTTCAATCAGTTCTTCATAATATACAGGCAACATTGTAAAATTGTACTCATACTTCATGTTCTGTAGTGCCTATTTCTATTTCTAGATACTAGTGCTATTTCTAGATAGATACATAGATAGATGATAGATAATAGATGATAGATGATAGATAGATAGATAGATAGATAGATGATAGATAGAGTTGTTTCTTTGTTTACAGACCTGTGTCTTGTGAGGGCACAAATCCAGGTGTCCTGTTCACCTTATGTGTTCATGGCTCATCACTGCTTTGGCGCACAGTAGGTATACAAAAAAAAAACTGTTGCACAGACAAATGAATGCAAAGTATTGGAAAAGGCAATACGGGGATTGACTTGAGCCTGTGCCAAGTCTATTTTTCAGGTTTGCAGAAGCACCAGGTTACCTTGGCACCTTCAGATCTGCCTACCCTCTCTCCATGATGGAATGACTGCTGCAGCCTCAGGATTACTGAGTAAAACTCCCACACTTCCTGGGGTCCTGTTTATCTGCGATATCTAATGTGTTCAATTAGAGAACCAAAACTTGGCCCCACTGTGTTTTTCTGGTTTGGGCACAGTTTAAATAACAATAGTTAACCTATCTTGAGCCAATATTATGTGCCCGTCACTGTCCTAGGGACTGTATAAAAAGCATGAAGCCCTCCTACAGATCTAATATTATCACCCCAGTTTTGCACATAACGAAAATCTAAGTCTCAGCGGCACAGCTGGGGAGCGGTGAGGAACTGGCATCCAGGAAGTCTGACTTCAGAGCCATGCTTTTAGCTGCTTCAGGGTGCCAAAAAGCACCACGCATGTGCTAACTTAGGACTGGACTGGGCTCCAATTTCCTGTTGTCCCTACAGCATTCTGTGTTCTCTTCAGTCCTGAGTTATACCTCCGCAGGATCAGCACTCCCCCTGGGAATCCTGCTGGATTCACCTGTTATTTGTAGTCCAAGCTAAAAACAGCTCTGCACATTGCCCAGAAAAGTTCAGGCCATGGAGCTCTTCTGTGCAGACTTTTAAACAACAAGAGCACAGGAAATTACTCTTTAATCCCTGAAGTGCAAATTTCATACAGCACACACACACACGTTTTGGGGAGAAATATTCAAAACAAATTTTCCATTATTTTCTTGGTTTCTAAATGGCTCATGAAAAAGAAACACTTTAAATAAATTCCACCATTTCTGAAATAATTAATTTAAGTGCATTAACATGAGCACACACTCTTCCCTCTGTGCTTCTCTCGCGGTCTGAGTAGAGCAAAGACACCTCGTCCCAGCAACGTGGTGGGGATGCTCATTCTTCTACAGCCGGCCCTGAGCCCAGGTCGGTCCGAATGTCTATACCATTTTCTTGTGCCCATAACCCACGTGTATAGGCGACCTTTAAACAGATTATGCAAGTTGATAATGACAATGATTTAATATTCAAAGAACCATTGCCCATGAAGCTGGCAAAATAGACTTCCCCTCAGGTCTTTTCAAAAAGCCTTGTTTGCATTTTAACCCAAGATCCCTTTGAGTCTCCTGACTTTGATGACGGATCCTCTGAGTCTCCTGACTTTGATGGTGACCCATGAAGGTTGGTGTTTTGAAATAACCACGAGGCACGAATTGACCCAGTTAAGCTTTTAAGGAGCACTGTTTAGTGCAATATCGAGACAGATGGTATCTCAGAGGCCACAGCAACAGCACAGGGAGTGATGCGGTTGAAGGACAATTCAAAATACCAGGGTTTATTCTTGTTTTGTGGTTCACTGCATTATACCTGGCACCTCGCACAGTGCACAGTGCAGGGGAATTCCCCACTAGATGGAAATAGAAAGGGAGACAGTTCCATTTTTAAGCAAAATAAATTCATACATTATAGGATAATTGGAAGAGGTTAAGAAATGAAAGACCTTCTAATTAAAGTGTGAGGAAGAACTCAAATTGTTTTAAATTTCCGTTATCATCTAGAAATCTGAAAATCTATTGTCATTTTTAAATTCTGACAATTTCAACCTTTTTAAAAAAACATAATTTGTTTACCTTCAAACTTATGAGAATTGCCCAATAATGCAAATTTCCACAACTCAATCTAAAGTGAGAATATGGGGGGGTGAGTCTTTATTAAATAAATGTTCACCTTAAATCTGTTCCTTACCATTTTTTCTTCTGCCTATTGTAAATTCTTCTCTTACAAATACTTTTCATGAAAATACATGTGAAAATACACAGCAATTTATTCTTTTTTTTTTTTTTCCAGGCAGAGTCTTGTGCTGTCACCCAGGCTGGAATGTACTGGCATGATCTAGGCTCACTACAACCTCCACCTCCCAGGTTCAAGCGATTCTCCTACCTCAGCCTCCCAAATAGCTGGGATTACAGGTGCCTGCCACCATGCCTGACTAATTTTTGTATTTTTAGTAGAGATGGAATTTCACCATGTTGGTCTCAAGCTCCTGACCTCAGGTGATCCATCCGCCTCAGCCTACCAAAGTGCTGGGATTACAGGCTTGAACCACCGCAACTTGTCAGCAATTCATTCTTGACCTTCTAATAGGGAAAACAAGAACTGTGAAAATAATCTATCCTTTCATGTACGTTCTAGAAGATGACAATTAAAGGAATAAGAAAATGTTCGTTGAGTGGCCACAAGCATATGTTGTCAAATGTCCATCAACAGTAGAATGGGTAAGCAAATAGTAATACGTTCATAGAATAAAATTTTAGAGCAATAAAGAAAGAAATTCCTGATGCACATTCTACCTTCCTCCATAAGAAATCTAGTGGCATGGCTAAATTGTAATTTCTGTAGTTTCAGTTCATACCGTTGGCATCATGATGAAAAATAATACCGCCGAGCAGGCTCCAGATCCCCACTGAGGACATGATGTCTCCCAGGTCACTGCACTCAGCTCCCCACTGGATATGCTCTCTTCTCATCCTCCAGCAAAGTGCTCAGCTCTGCTCTTCTCATCTCAAACATCCTCATGAAGACAGCGTCTTCCTCCCCAAGCATAAAGCCTGGGCATCACCTGAAGATTTCTTCTACTCTGCAGTCCGCTTATGGAAGCACCTTCTCAGTGGAGTCTTTCCCACTTCAGATAAGCACTGTGCCACTGCGCACTAGTCAGTATCAGAAGGCCTGCTTAGGACGCAAACAGCCCCAGTGGTCCAGCGATTTAACATGCCCAATATTTATTTTTTATTCTTGCTGCATAAAAGTAATGCCCTATAGATTTTAATATTCCTGGCCAGGTGCAATGGCTTACGCCTGTAATCCCAGCACTTTGGGAAACCAAGGTGGGTGAATCCCTTGAGGCCAGGAGTTTGAGACCAGCCTGCCCAACATGGTGAAATGCTGACTCTACAAAAAAACACAAAAAAATCTTAGCCTAGGAGGCACAGGTTGCAGTGAGTCAAGATCGTGCCACTGCACTCCAGCCTGGACAACAGAGCGAGACTCTGTCTAAAAAATAAGAAAAAATTTTTTAAAGAGTTTAAGGCCCCTCCTTAAAGAGAATGCAGTTTTCTCATCCATTTCCTATTTAAATAAATTGGGGCTCAAATGTCATTTAAAATTTTGAATGCTCATGAAATGACGAATTCTGTTTCATGCTGTCTTTGGCAATGCAATCACTTAAAAACTTTGCAGGCTTCTTATCCCCTTTGTTCAAGTCGATTCTGTATGCCAGCTGCCACACTCGAGGTCCTCAGGTCTGCTCTACAGACTGGATCAGCCTTTACGCCTGTCTCTTTTGCACTAGAAGGCAGCTTGAGGCTGTCTGGCTTCTGTAGGGAGCCTTGATCCCTTTATGCCTAGCGTTCCATTATTGGAACGCTAAGCACGTGGAAGTTATTTATATCCTACTGCTCAAGGTCATTGCCAAGGTCTGATCACAAAAATTCAAAAAATTATAATCTCAGGCATAAATGGGTTGATCTGACTCTTCTCATCTATCTAATAGGATTTATTGGGTGCAACATCTTAAATCTCATCTTTGCCACTTGACAAGTTAATCAGTTGGAAGATTTTACCAGGTGTCTGTCTCTAGAAATCTTTCTCAATATAATATTCATGATCTGGGGGCCAGAAACAGCCTGTGCTTCCAAATTTGAAAGGCACAGAATTGCTGGAGTTTCTCCATATCCTTTTACTTCTGCTTGCAAACTGGAAAATGCTTTCTCTTTCCTGTAGTGTATTTACAAAACCGAGTGGTTTCTTGCCCTAGAGCTGTACGTCCAACTGCTGCACAAGCTGTCTCTCGAGTTATCACTGACCTCAGTTACAGGCACTTGGCTAATACGTGTTGCCATCTTTCCAGACAGCGATAACAGTTTTACCACCACGCACCACGAGACCCTGAACCAATGATGAATATGCTGAGTTTTTGTTAAAATGGCACTGCCCTTCCAGTTTCAGGATGAGCTAGGGTAAAGCTGAGCAGTGAACCACCTCTGTATCTCGGTGTCTGCCACAATAGAAGCCCCACCAACCTCATCTCTGCTTAGGATGCACTAGCAAACAGCCGCGGCAGTCCAGTGATTTAACATACCCAATACTTATTTCTTATTCTTGCTGCCTAAAGGCAACACTTTTATGTTTAAGGTTTCTCCTTAAAGAGAATGCAGTCTCATGGGCCAAAACAGGTCTCTGATCTACAATCCTCTGAGACGCAGTTGCTCAGCCACAAATGCTTTGCTGTTCTTGCAGCTGCGCCATCTGGAGCACAGGCCTCCCCTGGTCATTAGTCAGCTCCTTCAAGCTTCAGCCACTGCCCACTGATGGGATCAGTCGTGCGTCCACCCAGCAGCAAGGAGCCTGAGATGTGCTTGGGCACCATCGCCATCGCCAGTGCTAAGAAGATAAAACAGTCTCTGTGCTGTTGCCACCAGATCTGCTGCAACGATTTCTTTACCTCTTACTCCTGCCTCAAGATATCCCAATCTGCATTCTTCCAATCCCATTCCAGCTCTATCTGCTCTCATTTAGGATTTTAGTCACTGCTGTGATGCCAAACCTAGGAGAGATCCCCCATCCTCATCGCAGCAGACTTGTCAGCAGTTTTTGATGCATGTGTGAGTGCATGTGTGTGCATATGTGCGTGTGTATGTGTGCATTGTGTGTGCGTGTACATTTGTACATGTGTGTGCATGTGTGCGTGTGTGCATGTGTGCATTTGTACATGTGTGTGCATGTGCACAGCATCCATCAGCATCAGCGTCTGCTAACTTAGGAAGATCACACACCTGGCTCTGTGTGAGGAGAAGGCTCTAGAAAGCAACATGAGACATTCACCCTAATTTTATTTTCAATTACAGATTAACGTTCATTGTTCTCAGACCTGGAGTTTCTTTTCTCAAAATTAAGTTGGTCTTTTTCTTGTGGATGGAATGAAGTGCTGCCAGCTGAAGCCAGGTTGATCTGGTGAGAGACGTCCAACAGATGAGACAGATGTGTGCAGCCTATTGAAAAACTGAGGCTTGAGCCTTTTAAAAACAGTCAAATATATTTTATATTGTTAAAAAAAACTGACAAAGATAAGTCCAAAGTGCTCACCTAGCCCCTGCAAGCCCTTCCCACCCTTGGTCCTGTGTCCTCTGCAGCCTCACGCTGTGCCATTCTGCCGCTGGTTTTCAGTGTTCCAGCCCGTAAAGACCTGCTTAGGATGCAGTCTTCATGCAAGACTGCAAAATAATCTTCTGCTTCAAGAGCTGTGTGTCTGTGGATCCACCACGTCCTGGTCTCTCTTCTCACCTTCCTGTCTGCCTGCGATTTTTCTCATCCACCTCCATACACTTGACACCTGTACGTTCTTTTTTAGGAATAGTTTCCTTGCCTCTGCAAACACAATGTTAGTCTATTCTCATGCTGCTAATAAACACATACCGGGGACTGGGTAATTTATAAAGGAAAGAGGTTTAGTGGACTCACAGTTCCACATAGGCTGAGGAGGCATCACAATCATGGCAGAAAGCAAAGGAGAAGCAAAGGCATGTCTTACACAGAGGAAGGCAAGAGAGCTTCTGCAGGGGAACTCCCATTTATAAAACCATCAGATCTCATAAGACGAATTCACTACCATGAGAACAGTATGGGGGAAACCATCTCCATGATTCCATTATCTCCACCTGGCCCTGACCTTGACATGCTGGGATTATTACAATTCAAGATGAGATTTGGGTGGGGACACAGCCAAACCATATCTCACAGGCATGTCATATTGCCCTTGGACCCCACATGGCTCTCAGGCTTGTCCTTCTTGTCGTACTCACTGCACTTGTGGCTGCTTGCTAGATGTGTGGCATTCCTGCTAGGCTCTCAGCTCCACAGGCCAGAAATCATGTGGGTTCATTCATCACTCTAATCAGGAAAGCAGTGTTTTGCCTCATCTTTCACAAACAGCCAAAGAGAAACCAGTGGAATGACTTTGAGCAAAAAATGTGCTACATCAGGGTTTTGTTATCCTAACCTAAGGCATAAGGATACTTTACCAGAGTAAAGTCATGTTCAACTCTAAGATTTTATCATTGGTTTTTTGCTTTCTTTGGATGCAGTATACATTGAGATAAAATTGCATCTGCTGTAGTGGTCTAGATGAAAGTGGGTAATAAAATAAACCATTTCTCAAGTTTTCTTTCAGCCAACTTTAGTTTAGCAATGCAGGAGCATCTCTGCTACTGATCTACTAAACCGGGCCTATTTGGTTTCCAAATATACTTGACTGGTTTTAAAAATGAATGTTCACGTGATGTTACAAAAAAAACATTGTAGCCAGGCCTGGTGGCTCATGCCTATAATCCCAGTGACTAAGGATGCTGAGGTGAGAGGATTCCTCGAGGCCAAGAATTCAAGACCAGCCTGGGCAACATAGCAAGACCGCTCCATCTCTAAAAAGTGAAAATAAAAATAAAATTAGCTGGGCATGGTTATGTAAACCTGTTGCCCCACCTACTCAGAAGCCTGAGGCAGGAGGATCACTTGAGTCCAGAAGTTCACAGCTGCAGTGAGCTATTTTTGTGCCATTGCACTCCAGCCTGGGCAACAGAGCAAGACCATGTCTCAAAAACAGATGGCACTACTACTGTTTTTGAGATCATTTAATCAGTAAAAGAGAAGGGTGCCATAGCAAAATGCCTTATGTTGGCATCTGCATGAAATCTCTTCTTACAACAGTGCCTAGTTTTCTTTTGGAGGAGTGCTCTTCCCCAGCCCTGCGGTCGCGATGGCAGGGCCAGTAAGGAATTCACACCCTCTGAACTTGTGCTAAAACGGAGCTGCTCTGCGTCGTCTATGGGACCTTTCTGCCATGGCTGGTAATTAAATTTGGAAGTATAAGCCGAGGACTGATGACAACTATCTTACTCATCACATAGATGAGGAGCCTATCAAGAAAGAAACAAATGAGAGAGAAGCAGAACAGAAAAAAAGAAGGAAAGACGGCAAGCACCTGGGTGACATCATTTGACCCCTCTCCATGCAACCATTTGTAACTCGAGATTCCCCAAACACCTGATGGTGAAAATGCCTGATTTTATTTTGTTGCCACCATCCTCATCTGCTTAAGGAAGCTGACTTGGGTTTCCGTCTCTTGGAACCCGAAGGATCCCATCGATGGTGACACTGCTGGCTCTGCTGTGTTGCAGGCACTTTTTAAAATCCTATTCACCATGATTTCCTCTTGTACCACGGTCACCTCCATCTCTTAATGTGCACATAGCACGTCAGCACAGCTGTTAAAAATGGTCTGGTTCAATAATCAGGAGACCTAGAACACAGCTCTGGGCCTGCCACAATCTGTACCTGTCCTTGATGGAATCATTTAAACGTTCAGCCTCTAGGGTAAAGGAGGTGTCTGCTAGGGAAGCCCAGACCGACTATGGAGGCTGCAGTCATGACGGCGTTCAGTCTGAAACAATCTTGGCCTCCATATCACCCCCACTCCCCAGCACGTGCCCATCAATGTTCCAAATACCTCACCCCAATCACCGAGTGAGGAGGAAGGCTACTTCGGAGAGGGGACATTGAAGGGGAGAAGCTGGAGTTTGGGTTTGAAAAAAAGTGTTCTAAGTAAGCTTTCCGTTTCTCATTATGCTACTAGTAGAATTCAGAAATCTGTGCTTCTCAACAGGAAAAGCAAACATTGATTGAAGAGCTTTACTTTTACTAATATGTTCTTTGTGTGCTCCCTACAATAGCCCTATAAGGTAGGTATTGATATTCCGCTATTACATACAAGGAAACCTAAGCTCACAGAGCTCCCCCAGGTATGGGGAAAAATGGGGAAGGGGAAGGGCTTCAAAACCAGAGACTCTGAGTCCAAAGTTGTGGCTTTCCTTACAGGAGCTCACAGCTGCTAATGCCGGTCACCTGGGCACAAGAGCGGCTTCACAGAGCTGGGGTGAGGGGAACAATGCTGTGGGAGCCAGGCCATTAACCAGCTGTTAGTTCTCATGCCCCGCAGTGCCAGATGAAACACGGCTCCAGATGGGAGCTCCGCACCAAAGGCTGGGGAGAAAAACCTCATGGGTTTCGTCTAAGCTGTCACATCTGTCATGTGCAGGTGGCAAGCAGGAGCTTGGGAAAGGTGCTGATGAGTGGCCTTTGAAGTCTTGCAACGTCCAGTGCTTTTCAGTTGGGTTTGTATTAAAGTCAGGTTTGTTGTGTGAAGGCCAAAACAAAGTGAGTGGAGCATCCGGTGGGTGCCGGAGTCACGACGTCTAAGCTCCTGGAGCTGGAGGGCTCTCAAGGGGTGTTTGCTGGCAAGTTGATCAAAATGTACAAATTTTTTCATTTCAAAAATATCACGTGGCATTGGAAAATGTCATCAAAATAAGAAATCACACAGGCATCAAGAACTTAGAGCATCAAGCAAATTTATGACACTCAATGAGACGAATGGAAATTTAGAACTAAAATCTGATTCAGTACAATGGACGAGAGAATTATCATTTCCCAAACACTCATGGTGGTACCATTTGCTGAAAATAATCCATGCCCAACAACTTCTTCTCATATGTGTATTTCTCTTACATCCTTCAACTTGGTGAATTTAAAACCAATGACTTCTTTTGGAAGGATTATAACTAATAAATCAATAAGAATTACACTAGTGAATTAACATATAGATGCATACCTACATATACAGCATACAAATATACATAGCTTTTATGTAAGATTGTGATAAAGCCGTTAGACACATTGTGGGCCTAAAATAGGAAGCTCCTAAGGCTGGTGATGCCAGCACTGGCCATAGCATCAGCCAGGCATCTGCAGGCAATGCCCACGTGAGTCACAGATGACATGCACCGGGCTCATCAGACAGCAGTGCTGCCATTAACCCCACTTCAGAGATGAGAAAGCCGAGGCATGCAGTGCTTGTGTCTCATATGTAAGATCACACTGCTAGACAGGGGCACTCCCCAAAGAAGATTCATACTGTTAAACGTTTATCTACCCTACCTGTCTTTAGCGAACAGGAGACTTTATCCAGACTTGCCTTCAGGTATTTTTTACATAGGGCTATTCAAATGTTCAACAAATGGTACTTATGCACCCAGCAGGTGTGATGCACTGCGGTATACCCTAGGGCTGAACTGTGAAGACAATGACCCTTAGGTGACCCACAGTTCCTGACCAGCTGAGTCTCCCATGCAGCGAGCAACGCACAAGAGATGGAGGAGTGCACATGGGCACATGAGTCAAAGCAGTCACAGGGAGGCTCCCGAGCACGATGCCTTCCATCCAAGAGTCAGCACAGGCTTCCTGGGTAAAGTGATGGATAAACTGAGTGCTGAAAAAAAATGCAAATGCATGTAATCTGCCTATGAGTACAGAGGAGAGGAAACCTGGGTGCAAGGGGAGACCAAGCAGTTCAAATGGTGCATCAAGGGAAAAAACGAGCTTGCGGGGGGAGCTTGGCCCTTCATGGCCCTAGCGACACTCAGTGTGAGCAGGGCAGAGCAGGGGTCCGCGAGTCCCTGCTGCTCAGGGTCCTGACCCCGGGGGAAGGAGGTAGAGCTTCATTCCGCGGGTGATGGAAAGCCCGGGACGAAGATCTTCAACCTGCCTTAACAAGTATTTACTGAGCACTGTGGGTAAAGAAGAAAGAAAGACTCCTCTCCTAAAATAATTCCAAAGTGAATTACGGGGAGAGAAAACCCTGTTGCTACCACCAAGGTATAAAAACATTACTATGGTGACATGATGACACAAAGATGATGGTGACAATGACAATAGCTAACACTCAATTGCATCTAACCCTTGATAAGGCACAGTTTAGTATCCTTTAAACTGTAACCCTCACAGCAATCCCCAATGAGGGGTTCCCTGGTTGCATTTTACAGCATGGCACTCTTACTGTTCTGTGGCAGGAGCAGACTGAATCGCCGTTGTGTGCATATTGCAATTTCTAACTTAAACCGGCCTGAAGGATGACCTGGTCTCAGTGCTTCAGTGGCTATGTAGATATGAAATATGACCACATGTCAATGTCATAATAAAGCATGAGATGAGAATGGTCATTAAATGGGTGCTTAGCAAATTGAAATTTTGTGTTATGAACCAAACACTAAACATACAAGTCTTCTGACTTATTTAGAAATTATCCTTTTCAAAATCAGCTAAAAATATCTGATGCTGCAGTATCCATGGAAAAAGACGAAACAAAACTCAACATAAAAACAAATTTCCCTGATCCTTTCTTGCCATGTTTTCTGCATAGGAAATTGCATTTTAAGGTGGTAAAGATCTTTGCAGGCAGAAAAGTATCCTTCCCAAAACGCAGGCTTTGTCTGGATGATAAACAATGTGTGAGTGTTAACCTAAGGACAGAAGTCCCTCCCATGATGACTTTTGGCCTAGGGTTGTTTGCTCATCATCGAACGCAAGCCAGAGGTAATTAATCCACCTTGGAGGCCTTTCACCCCATGGACCTCACCCATTTTCTAAATCAATCTCGGGGTGGTTTCATAGCCAAAATGAGGTATGTGGGGAACGAGGGTTCTGGCTTGGTGATTTGGCCGGTAATTTGAAAACCAAGACACGGTGTGCAGTCGGCCCATTAATTCTAATGAAATGACCTGTTTTCCCTCAGGCATGCTCTGTTCTCCATCACTTTCATTCACCACTGTGTTTTCCCAGCCTTTCAAGAGCCCCCGTTCCCTTCCAAGTCTCTTGCATGATTTTTCTGACTCAGGTCTTCACTCCAATTCTTCACATCAGCGCCACCCAATTACATGCCCTACGAAATCACTTTCAATCTGTCTCTTTCTTGTTCAAAAGCTTTGATGCCTTCTGTTGACTCTTCACAATGAGCCTGCATCAAGCACTTCCTACTGCAGTCACCACTGCCAGATGCTGTGAAAACAGAGCCACAGACCGGGTCCCTCACAGGCCACGTCCACGGATGAGAAACGCACCACATCAGGCACCCCGGGAAAGCAAAATCACTTTGCATCTGGCAAACTGAGACTCAGACCCAGCCTGCTGTGACTCGCTGGAAAAACAGAGTACACCTTCGCAGGTCACTGCCACTACACGTGTAGCTTTAGAACTAAGTGAGCTCTCATTAAAAGTGGTGGTCTCTTAATTTGTCCTGGTCCACTTCCTTTCTCTCCCTCTTCTGTCACAACATGCAGAAGAAAGTTTTACCACTTTGCTTGACTCTTTTTTTTTGAGACAGAGTCTCGCTCTGTCACCAGGCTGGAGTGCAGTGGCAAGATCTCGGCTCACTGCAAGCTCCGCCTCCTGGGTTCAAGCGATTCCCCTGCCTCAGCCTCCTGAGTAGCTGGGACTACAGGCACATGCCACCACGCCTGGCTAATTTTTTTTCTTCTTCTTCTTTTTTTTTTTTTTTTTTTTGTATTTTAGTAGAGACGGGGTTTCACCATGTTTGCCAGCATGGTCTGGATCTCCTGACCTCGTGATCCACCTGCCACACACTTTGCCCTTGGTTAACAAAATAGCATCTCACAACATGGAAATTAAAGGCTATGAAAGGCTATCAGACAATCCTATCTTCACCTTCTGTCCCATCTCACCTTCTAAGTTCTCTCCTGAAAGATTCATTCTTTCCTATTTCAGAAGACAGACAGTTCAATCTGGCTCTTTCTTACACATATCTACCATATTTAAAGGAAGAAGAAAAAAATCAAGATCCACTTCACTCATATAGTGCTTTCTATCTACAATTATATCTCTTCCCACACCTCTGCTGAAGAACTTTCTAAAACATTGGTCAAAATTAACAGACGCATTTTGTTACCTTCCTTTCCTGCTTGAAGTCCATGAAGTCTGACTTCCCACTATTCCACTGCAGCCATCCAAACTAATCCTACCAATGTTGTCCTCAATGGCAAATCCAACGGGCACTTTTAAGCAGCATTTTATTTAGCTTCTTTTTGGCTTCCGGTGTTTATCACTTCTCTATGTCTTACCTGAGACACCTTATAGTTCTGGTTATCTTCATGCCTCTGGCCCTTTCTTCACAAATTCCCTTCAGGTCACCTTTTCTTCTGCCTGCCCTACAGTGGGGCTGCTCCATAGACATTTACACTTGAGCCTCTTCGCTCAGCTCAGTCTCCTGGGTCGTCTCATCCAAACCTGCAAGGCTCGTCTCTAACTCAGATTCTCCCCTTCAGCTCCAGACATTGTCCAAAAGTCATCTGCATAGGGAAAAGCCATTTCCACATTGGCACTGCTATTTGCCTTTTTCACTGTGTTAAAATTTGCACTGGAGATGCAGTAGCAATAGCGGGGAGAACTGCGGAAGTTTAACACTAACCAAGGCAGTGGCCCCATAGGAGGAATGAAGAACAGGTAACAAAGCCACTCCCTCATTACAATTTTTTTTAAAACATGATTATCTGCATAAAAATATTCAAGGAGTTAATGATTGCTATTTTAACAAATTAATGAATTTTACTAAATTTCTGTTTTAATTTCTAACAGAGTAAATGTAGAGACAATCTACATAAACCAAAACTCTTTGGGGTCCTCAAATCATCAAGAGAGTAAGACGTCCCAAGTCCCTTGAGAAATCCTGCTCTATACTTCATTTCCAACTGCCAACTGCATGTTTTTCCCTGGATTAACCTCAGTGTGCTTGAGATGAGTCTTTGTTTTTCCCCAAATACCTCTCTTTCTGTCCTATCTGTCCCCGTTCCTGACACCGCTAACCCTCCTGCCATATAAGTCACAAGTCTCCAGGCCTTTCTTGCCTGCTCCTAGACCTTCCCTGGTTTTGCCTTGCTTGCAGCTGCCCATATCCAATAAGCTCCCAGCTCCTGTCTATTCTGCATGGAAAATCACTTTCAAATTCATTAGCCCTCCTCCAGTCCCATCATTGCCATCTACCACATGCTAAGACTGAATCAATTAATATTTACTCAGCAACGTCTATGTTGGCCTCCTGTGGCACCCACTCTAGACCCGATTTCCCAGCACACATCCCCAGCCACCTTCTCCCTTGCCTGTCTCAAATCCAGAGACTGGAAAAGCAACAATATTTAGTCCCCTGGAGGCATGGGGAGCCATCTGACATAGCTCCACCTAAGGAAGCCAGAGTGGAATTCTGCTGCGGCTTCCCCTTCCTTCCTTCTCCTCTTCCTTTATTGACTGGAGTAAATACTAGAATTGCAGTAGCTATTTTGTGACCATCAGAAGAATGTGAGAGAAATAGAGGGGCATAGAGACTGAAGTTATTGAGCTCTAAGCCAATGACAGGCTACCTAGTTCTTTTCTTTACAAACCAGAAAGTCAACAGAACACGACTATTAGTTAGATCCACTCTGGTTTGGTTTTCTATAATCTTCAGCTCAGAGAGTGACTAAGACACATCTCTTGTTTTTCCTGCCTCCATTCTCCATCTTCTGAGATGCATTGTCCTCACTTCTGTAAGAGAGACCTTCGCAGGGTGTAGTGCACTGCCATAACACCAACCTTCCAAAGTCTCCCCTCGCTCATCAGCTAAAATTCACACTCCTGAACCCAAAATCTAAAGGTCATCTGTAGACTTCTTCCCCCTGCCTTCCAAGTGCCCCTTTCTGCTGCAATCCCAGTCCAAACTGAACCCCATCATCGTAAGCTGCTTCCTCATCCCCAAATGGCTGGGTACTCTTCTGTTTCTTCCAGTTCCTTGGTTTTCTCCTTTTTCCTAAAATTCCTCCTTTCCTCACTTTGTTTTTTTCAGGAGGGTTAGGAGGATGCACAAGGTGTTATCAAATCATTATCCAAGCCTCTCCACATCTTCCTTCCCAGGGAGACAGAGATGGCCATGCTCTGTTCCCACAGTACATGCTCAAGTCCCGTGTGATTGTCTGTGTTGTCTGAGGGATTTTGATCTCTCCCCTGGGCCAGGAGCTCCTTGAAAAGCAAAATAGATTATATGCACTCAATAATCCCTGTCATCCTACACAATCCTTGGTGCATTAAGCCATTCTTGCACTGCTAAAAAATACCTGAGACTAGGTAATTTATAAAGAAAGAAAATTTAGTTAGCTCATGGTTCTGCAGGCTCTACAGGAAGCATGGTGCTAGCATCTGCTCAGCTTCTGGGGAGGCCTCAAGAAGCTACAACCATGGCAGAAGGCAAAGTGGGATCAGGCATCTCACATGGCAAGAGTGATAATGTATTAGTCCATTCTCACATTGCTATAAAGAACTACCCAATACTGAGTAGTTTGTAAAGAAAACAGGTTTAATTGACTGACAGTTCTGCAGACTGTACAGCAGGCATGGCTGTGAGGCCTCAGGAAACTTACAATCATGGCAGAAAGGTGAAGGGGAAGCAAACACATCTTCACATGGCGACGTGATAGAGAGGAGAGAGACAGAGAGAGAGAGATGGAGAGAGAGAGCGTGTGAGAGCAAAGGGGAATTGCTACACACTTTTAAACAACCAGATCTCATGAGAACTCACTCACAACAACAGCAAGGGGCAAACGGCACCCATGATCCAGTCACCTCCAAGCAGGTCCCTCCCCCAACACTGGGGATTACAATTCAACATGAGATCTGAGTTGGGACACAGCCTAACCACATCAGGGAGCAAGAGAGAGCGTGGAGGGGAGAGGTTCTCTCATGAGAACTCACTCACTATCACGAGGACAGCACCAAGACATTCACAAGGGATCCACTCCCATGACCCAAACACCACCCACCAGACCCCACCTCCCAACACTGGGGATTACAATTCAACATGAGATTTGAGTGGGGACACAGAGCCAAACCACATCAGGGAGCAAGAGAGACAGTGGAGGGGAGAGGTTCTCTCATGAGAACTCACTCACTCACTATCACGAGGACAGCACCAAGACATTCACGAGGGATCCACTCCCATGACCCAAAAACCTCCCACCAGACCCCTCCTCCCAACACTGGGGATTACAATTCAACATGAGATTTGGTGGGGACAAACATCCAAACTGGATCACTTGGCAGAGTGTAAAGTCTCAACAGTTATTGTGTAAATAAATAAACGTATTATCTCCAATAAAGCTAAAGGTTTTTTTCTCTAGTCTACCAATGATTTACTTTTCATTCACCTCTTTATTAAATTTTTTATTCAGTACTGATTTATCTTATATTCATATTTTTACATAGCTGTGACTTGGATGTGCAAGGACATCTCAAAGTGTTTTATTTCCTGCTAACATTTTTTGAACCATGACTAAGAGTGTGCCAAACTGAATCAAATGCCTTTAAAATTCTTAATTAGTGTGGTTGGATGTTGCCCTCTCTTAAATTAGGGTATGCAGCAGTCATCTATTTATTTATTTATTTATTTTTATTTTATTTTATTATTTTTTTTGAGACGGAGTCTTGCTCTGTCACCCAGGCTGGAGTGCAGTGGCGCAATCTCGGCTCACTGCAAGCTCTGCCTCCCAGGTTCACGCCATTCTCCTGCCTCAGCCTCCCCAGTAGCTGGGACTACAGGCGCCTGCCACCAAGCCCAGCTTTGTTTTTTTTTGTATTTTTAGTAGAGATGGGGTTTCACCGTGTTAGCCAGGATGGTCTTGATCTCCTGACCTCGTGATCTGCCCACCTCTGCCTCCCAAAGTCATCTATTTTAAATTCGGTCACCATTGAGCCAACAACTCCTGCTTACCAGATACAGAGATTTTTGGTCCTAAAAGTGAATATATTTCATCTATGGGTAAACCATAATGCATCTTCCAAATGTCACTGTCTATTTTTTAGGAGAAATGCAACTATAGAAGAACTGGGAGAAAATCACCTGCTAGTAGGAACCCACTGCAGCACATTCCCCTAGTTGCAGTGGACACCCAGTACACTTCCTGACCCAGGGTCACTCGGTCTCAACCCAAGAAGAGGCAGAGGCCCTTAGAACAAAGGCAAATTCTGAGAGAAATAGTTTTTTGATGTGTGTAAACGTCCTGTCTGTTTAAACTTATTGATACTTATTTCCACAGAATAAAATCTCTTTTTTAAAAATCCAAAACAATGTCTCATGATGTTCAGTTGTGGTTGGGAAATATGGATGCCCAATAAGCATTAAATATGTACCATGGTACATAAATGTATCTTATAGTCATCTACTAAAATTAAAATGCTAAAAGATTTTCATGGGCCTGGTCAATAAATCAAACTTGTGGCACAGTGAGAAAAGCAAACAAACAAAACAATCCTGACGGGAGTTCAAGGAGAGGGGTTTGTTTTTTACTGATCTATAACTCATATATCTCATATATGATAATTACTATCATAATTCACTATTTTAAATGGTAAAATTCAGTGGTTTTTAGTATATTCACAGGTTGTAAAATCACCATCCCTAATTTCAAAACATTTTTATCACCCCAAAAAGAGGCCTTGAACCACTTAACCACCACTCCCAATCTTTCCTCCCCAAAGCCCCTGGCAGCCACTAATCTACTGACATGGCTGGGCTCTGTGTCCCCAACCAAATCTCATCTCTAATCGCTATCCCCACATGTCAAGGGAGGGACCTGGTAGCAGGTGACTGGATCATGGGGGAAATTTCTCCCAAGCTGTTCTAGCGATAGTGAGTGAATTCCCACAGATCTGAAGGTTTCATAAGTGGCAGTTTGCCCTGCTCTCTCTCTCTCTCTCGCCGGCCACCATGTAAGATGTGCCTTGCTTCCCCTTCACCTTCCACCATGATTGTAAGTTTCCTGAGGCCTCCCCAGCCATGCAGAACTCTGAGTCAATTAAACCTCTTTTCTTCATAAATTACCCAGTCTCAGGTAGTATTTTTATAGCAGTGTGAATGGATTAATACATCTACTTTCCGTCTTATGGATTTTCCTATTCTGAGCAATCCATGTAAATGGAATCCCACAATGTGTTGCCATTGGTGTCTCGCTTCTCTCATGTAGCACGATGTTTTCACAGATCCTCCAGGTTATAACACGGCTAATAGCACACCACTGTATGCACATCCCACAATTTTCTTATCCATTTATCAGTTAATGGACATTTGGGTTGCTTCCACTTTTTAGCTAACATGAACAATGCTGCCATGAGCATTCCTGTTCAAGTTCTTGTAAGATCATATGTTTTCATTTCTCTTGATATATACACATAAGTGGGATTTCTAGGGTGTATGGTCAGTCTATGTTTAGCATTTTGAGGAACTGCCAGATTAGTTTCTCTAGCAGGTGTATCATTTTAAATTCCCACCAGCAGTATATGAAGGTCCCAATATCTCCACATTCCGAACAACATTTACTTTCCTTTTCCATTTAAATTATAGTGATCTGCTGGGTGTGAAGTGGTATCTCCTTGCGGCGTTGATGTGCATTTCACTGATGACTAACGATGGTGCATATCTTTTTATGTGCTTGTTTATATTGTATATCTTCTTTGGAAATATGTTTATCTAATTTTTTAACTACTTTTTAATAATAGTTTGGTTCTCATTGTTGAGTTGTAAAACTCTTTTATATAGTCTGGATTCAAGTCCTTATCCTAACCAAGGGGAGCCATGACAGATGGTACCTGGAAAAACAGGACGCTCCCACCCAAATACTGCGCTTTTCCAATGGCCTTAGCAAATGGCACACCAGATTATATCCCGCGCCTGGCTTGGTGGGTCCCACACCCATGGACTCTTGCTCACTGCTAGCGCAGCAGTCTGAGATTGACCTGCTAGGCAGCAGCCTGGCAGGGGGAGGGGCGTCCACCACTGCTGAGGCTTGAGGAGGAAAACAAAGCAGCCAGGGAAGCTCTAACTGGGCGGAGCCCACCACAGCTCAGCAAAGCCTGCTGCCTCTGTAGACTCCACCTCTTGGGGCAGGGCATAGCTGAACAAAAGGCAGCAGAAACTTCTGCAGACGTAAATGTCCCTGTCTGACAGCTCTGAAGAGAGCAGTGGTTCTCCCAGCATGGTGTTTGAGCTTGGAGAACAGACAGACTGCCTCATCAAATGGGTCCCTGACCCCCATGTAGCCTAACTGGTAGATGCCTTCCATTAGGAGCCAACTGACACCTCATAGAGTTGGGTGCCCCTCTGGGATGAAGCTTCCAGAGAAAGGATCAGGCAGCAATATTTGCTGTTCTGTAATATTTGCAGCCTCTGCTGGTGATACCCAGGCAAACAGGGTCTGGACTGGACCTCCAGCAAACTCCAACAGACCCACAGCTGAGGGACCTGACTGTTAAAAAAGAAAGCTAACAAACAGAAAGGAATAGCATCAACAACAACAAAAAGGACATCCACACCAAAACCCCATCTGTAGGTCACCAACATCGAAGACCAAAGGTAGATAAAACCACAAAAGTGGGGAGAAACCAGAGCAGAAAAGCTGAAAATTATGAAAACCAGAGCATCACTTCTCCTCCAGAGGATCACAGCTCCTCGCCAGCAACAGAACAAAGCTGGATGGAGAAAGATTTGATAAGTTGACAGAAGTAGGCTTCAGAAGGTCGGTAATGACAAACTTCTCCGAGCTAAAGGAGAATGTTTGAACCCATCGCAAGGATTAAAAACCTTGAAAAAAGATTAGATGAATGGCTAACTAGAATAAACAGTGTAGAGAAGACCTTAAATGACCTGATGGAGCTGAAAACCATGGCACGAGAACTACATGACACATGCACAAGCTTCATTAGCCAATTTGATCAAGTGTAAGAAAGGGTATCAGTGATTGAAGATCAAATGAATGAAATAAAGCAAGAAGAGAAGTTGAGAGAAAAAACAGTAAAAAGAAATGAGCAAAGCCTCCAAGAAATATGGGACTATGTAAAAACACCAAATCTAGGTTTGATTGGTGTACATGAAAGTGATGGGGAGAATGGAACCAAGTTGGAAAACACTCTTCAGGATATTATCCAGGAGAATTTCCTCAACCTAGCAAGACAGGCCAACATTCAAATTCAGGAAATACAGAGAAAACCACAAAGATACTCCTCGAGAAGAGCAACCCCGAGACATATAATTGTCAGATTCACTAAGGTTGAAATGAAGGAAAAAATGTTAAGGGCAGCCAGAGAGAAAGGTCGGGTTACCCACAAAGGGAAGCCCAACAGACTAACAGCGGTTATCTTGGCAGAAACTCTACAAGCCAGAAGAGAGTGGGGGCCAATATTCAACATTCTTAAAGAAAAGAATTTTCAGTCCAGAATTTCATATCCAGCCAAACTAAACTTCATAAGTGAAGGAGAAATAAAATCTTCTACAGACAAGCAAATGCTGAGAGATTTTGTCACCAACAGGCCTGCCTCACAAGAGCTCCTGAAGGAAGCACTAAACATGGAAAGGAGCAACCGGTAACAGCCACTGCAAAAACATGCCAAATTGTAAAGATCATCAACACTAGGAAGAAACTGCATCAACTAATGGGCAAAATAACCAGCTAACATCATAATGACAGGATCAAATTCACACATAACAATATTAACCTTAAATATAAATGGGTTAAATGCACCAATTAAAAGACACAGACTGGCAAACTGGATAAAGAGTCAAGACCCATCAGTGTGCTGTATTCAGGAGACCCATCTCATGTGCAGAGACACAAATAGGATCAAAATAAAGGGACGGAGGAAGATCTACCAAGCAAATGGAAAGCAAAAAAAAGCAGGGGTTGCAATCCTAGTCTCTGATAAAACAGACTTTAAACCAACAAAGATCAAAAGAGACACAAAAGGCCATTACATAATGGTAAAGGGATCAATTCAACAAGAAGAGCTAACTATCTTAAATATATATGCACCCAATACAAGAGCACCCAGATTCATAAAGCAAGTCCTTAGAGACCTATGAAGAGACTTAGACTCCCACACAATAATAATGGAAGATTTTAACACCCCACTGTCAATATTAGACAGATCAACGAGACAGAAGGTTAACAAGGATATCCAGGACTTGAACTCAGCTCTACACCAAGCAGACCTAATAGACATCTACGGAACTCTCCTCCCCACATCAACAGAACATACATTCTTCTCAGCACCACATCGCACTTATTCCAAAATTTACCACATAGTTGGAAGCAAAGCACTCCCCAGCAAATGTAAAAGATCAGAAATCACAACAAACTGTATCTCAGACCACAGTGCAATCAAATTAGAACTCAGGATTAAGAAACTCACTCAAAACCACCCAACTGCATGGAAACTTAACAACCTGCTCCTAAATGACTACTGGGTAAATAACGAAATGAAGGCAGAAATAAAGATGTTCTTTGAAACCAATGAGAACAAAGACACAATGTACCAGAATCTCTGGGACACATTTTAAGCAGTGTGTAGAGGGAAGTTTACAGCACTAAATGCCCACAAGAGAAAGCAGGAAAGATCTAAAATCAACACCCTAACATTACAATTAAAAGAACTAGAGAAGCAAGAGCAAACAAACTCAAAAGCTAGCAAAAGGCAAAAAATAACTAAGATCAGAGCAGAACTGAAGGAGATAGAGACACAAAAACCCTTCAAAAAAATCAATGATTCCAGGAGGTGGTTTCTTGAAAAGATCCACAAAATATTCAGACCACTGGCAAGACTGCCAAAGAAGAAAAGGGAGAAGACTCAAATAGACCCAATAAAAAATGATGAAGGGGATATCACCACTGATCCCACAGAAATACAAACAACCATCAAAGAATACTATAAACACCTCTATGCAAATAAACTAGAAAATCTAGAAGAAATGGATAAATTCCTGGACACATACACCCTCCCAAGACTAAACCAGGAAGAAGTTGAATCTCTGAATAGACCAATAACAGGCTGTGAAATTGAAGCAATAATTAATATCCTATCAACCAAAAAAAGTCCAGGACCAGACGGATTCACAGCCGAATTCTACCAGAGGTACAAAGAGGAGCTGGTACCATTCCTTCTGAAACTATTTCAACCAACAGAAAAAGAGGGAATCCTCCCTAACTCATTTTATGAGGTCAACATCATCCTGATACCAAAGCCTGGCAGAGACACAACAAAAAAAGAGAATTTTAGAACAATATCCCTGGTTAACATTGATGCAAAAATCCTGAATAAAATACTGCAAACCAAATCCAGCAGCACATCAAAAAGCTTATCCACCACGATCAAGTCAGCTTCATCCCTGGGATGCAAGGCTGGTTCAACATATGCAAATCAATAAACATAATCCATCACATAAACAGAACCAATGACAAAAACCACAGGATTATCTCAATAGATGCAGAAAAGGCCTTCTACACAATTCAACAGCCCTTCATGCTAAAAACTCTCAATAAACTAGGTATTGATGGAACGTATCTCAAAATAATAAGAGCTATCTATGACAAACCCACAGCCAATATCATACAGAATGGGCAAAAACTGGAAGCATTCCCTTTGAAAACTGGCAAAAGACAGGGATGCCCTCTCTCACCACTCCTATTCAACATAGTGTTGGAAGTTCTGGACAGGGCAGTCAGGCAAGAGAAAGAAATAAAGAGTATTCAATTAGGAAAAGAAGAAGTCAAATTGTCCCTGTTTGCAGATGACATGATTGTATGTTTAGAAAACCCCATTGTCTCAGCCCAAAATCTCCTTAAGCTGATAAGCAACTTCAGCAAAGTCTCAGGATACAAAATCAAAGTGCAAAAATCACAACCATTCTTATACACCAATAACAGACAAACAGAGAGGCAAATCATGAGTGAACTCCTATTCACAATTGCTACAAAAAGAATAAAATACCTAGGAATCCAACTTACAAGGGATGTAAAGGACTTCTTCAATTAGAAATACAAACCACTGCTCAATGAAATAAAAGAGGAGACAAACAAATGGAAGAACATTCCATGCTCATGGATAGGAAGAATCAATATCATGAAAATGGCCATACTGCCTAAGGTAATTTGTAGATTCAATGCCATCCCCATCAAGCTACCAATGACTTTCTTCACAGAATTGGAACAAACTACTTTAAAGTTCATATGGAACCAAAAAAGAGGCTGCATTGCCAAGAGAAGCCTAAGCAAAAAGAACAAAGCTGGAGGTATCACACTACCTGACTTCAAACTATACTACAATGCTACAGTAACCAAAACAGCATGGTACTGATACCATAACAGATATGTAGACCAATGGAACAGAACAGAGGCCTCAGAAATAACACCACACATCTACAACCATCTGATCTTTGACAAACCTGACAAAAACAAGAAATGGGGAAAGGATGCCCTATTTAATGAATGGTGCTGGGAAAACTGGCTAGCCATATGTAGAAACCTGAAACTGCATCCCTTCTTTACACCTAATACAAAAATTAATTCAAGATGGATTAAAGACTTAACTGTTAGACCTAAAACCATAAAAACCCTAGGAGAAAACCTAGGCAGTACCATTCAGGACATAGACATGGGCAAGGACTTCACGAGTAAAACACCAAAAACAATGGCAACATAAGCCAAAATAGACAAATGGGATCTAATCAAACTAAAGAACTTCTGCACAGCAAAAGAAACTACCATCAGAGTGAACAGGCAACCTACAGAATGAGAGAAAATGTTTGCAATCTACCCATCTGACAAAGGGCTAATATCCAGAATCTACAAAGAACTTAAACAAAATTTACAAGAAAAAATCAAACAATCCCATCAAAAAGTGGGCAAAGGATATGAACAGATACTTCTCAAAAGAAGACATTTATGCAGCCAACAGACACATGAAAAAATGCTCATCATCACTGGTCATCAGAGAAATGCGAATCAAAACCACAATGAGATACCATCTCATCCCAGTTAGAACGGCAATCATTAAAAAGCCAGGAAACAACAGATGCTGGAGAGGATGTGGAGAAATAGGAATGGTTTTACACTGTTTGTGGGAGTGTAAACTAGTTCAACCATTGTGGAAGACAATGTGGTGATTTCTCAAGGATCTACAACTAGAAATACCATTTGACCCAGCGATCCCATTACTGGGTATATATCCAAAGGATTATAAATCATGCTACTTTAAAGACACATACACATGTATGTTTATTGCAGCACTATTCACAATAGCAAAGACTTGGAACCAACCCAAATGTCCATCACTGATAGACTGGATTAAGAAAATGTGGCACATATACACCACAGAATACTATGCAGCCATAAAAAAGAATGAGTTTATGTCCTTTGCAGGGACATGGATGCAGGTGGGAACCATCATTCTGAGCAAACTATTGCAAGGACAGAAAACCAAACACCACATGTTCTCACTCATAGGTGGGAATTGAACAATGAGAACACTTGGACACAGGGCGGGGAACATCACACACCGGGGTCTGTCGTGGGGTCGGGGGCAGGGGGAGGGATAGCATTAGGAGAAATACCTAATGTAAATGACAAGTTAATGGGTGCAGCAAACCAACATGGCACATGTATACCTATGTAACAAACCTGCACATTGTGCACGTGCACCCTAGAACTTAAAGTATAATAATTAAAAAAAAAAAAGAATTCTCAAGTGAAGCCATCTGCTCCTGGATTTCTCCTTGTGGGAAGTTTTTTTTATTATTATAACTAACCCAATCACTTTACTGTGTGTTATTTTATCGTCCTCTTTCCCTATAAGATCAGTAGTATTGTTCTTCCTTTCATCTTGATTTTAGTCATTTAATTCTTTTCTGTTTTTCTTGGTCAGTCTTGTTAAGGCTTTTTCAACCTTTTAAAGGTTTTCAAAGACTGACTTTTGGTTTCATTGATTTTTTGCTACTCTGTTTCTATTCTCTAGTTCATCTGTTTCCACTTTAATCTTTATTGCTTCTTTCTTTCTGCTAGCTTTGGATTTAGTTTGCTCTTTTTTATAGTGTCTTAAGGTTGAAGGTTATATTATTGATTTGAGATGTTTCTTCTTTTTCAGCATAGGTGTTTACAACTCTAACCTTCTCTCTGAGCCCTACTTCTGTTACTTTCATGATTTTTGGTATCTTTTTAACTCACCACCGTGGTTTCCTATTTACCTTTTGATTTCTTTTGGGATCCATTTGTTATTTAGGAGCATGTGTTCAATTTCAACATATTTGTGAATTTCCCAAGTTCCCTTCTGTTATTGATTCTAATTCCCTTCCACTGTTGTCAGATAATATATTTTGTATATCGTCAGTCCTTTGAAATCAAATTGGATGTGTTTGATGGTGTAATGTAGAATGTACTTAGAGAATGCTTCCTGTACACTTGAGAGCTGTTGCTGTGTAGAGAGCTCTATAGATACCTGTTAGGCATAGATGATGTACATCGTCGTCAAGTTTTCTTTCTCCTTGCTAATCTTCGATGTCTTCTATTCATTATTGAAAATGAGGTCTTCAGGTCTCCTACTACTGTTGAGGTATCTATTTCTGCCTTTGATTCTGTCCATTTTTGCTTCATGTATTTTGGGACTTTGTTGTTAAATGCAGACGTGCTTGTTTGTTTTCTTTTCTGAGACAGGGCCTCACTCTGTCACCCAGGCTGGAGTACAGTGGTACAATCTCAGCTCACTGCAACCTCTGCCTCCCCGGCTCAAGCATCCTCCCACTTCAGCTTCCCGAGTAGCTGGGATTACAGGCACGCACCACCACATCCGAATAATTTTTTGTATTTTTAGTAGAGACGGGGTTTCACCATGTTGCCCAGGCTAGTCTCAAACTTCTGAGCTCAAGCAATCCACCACCTTGGCCTCCAAAAGTGCTACAATTACAGGCATGAGCCACCACACCCAGCCTTATAATTGTTATATCTTGATGGGTTGACATTTTTATTATAAAAGTATTTCTTTGTCTTTATTAACAAGTTTTATATTAAAGCCTATTGTATCTGATATTAGCATGGCCAATCCAGCTCCATTTGGTTAAAAATATGTTTGTATGGCATATCTTGTTCCATCCTTTTACTCCCAGCCTATTTGTGTCTTTTATTCTACTGTGATTCTGTTGCAGACAGCACACAGTTGGAGCATTTTTTAATGCATTCTGCCAGTCTCTGCCTTTTAATTGAAGCGTTTCATCCCTTTAATGTAATTACTAGTAAAGCAAGATTTATATATGCCCTTTTCTCTATGTCTTACATCTTTTTTTCCGGTTCCTTCATCATTGCCTTCTTTTGTGTTGAATAGTTATTTCCTACTGTACCATTTTAAGCTTCTTGTCATTTCCTTTACTATGTATAGTCATTTTCCTAGTGGTTACTCTCACAATCACAATTACCATCTCAAATGAAACAATTCCCTTCCAAGTTAGTGCCAACTTAATTTTAATAGTATACAAAAACTTTTTTCCTATATAGCTTCATTCTTCTCCCCCATATGGTGTTATTTTCACATATTACATATCTATAAATAGTGTGCCAATCAACGTACATTTAAATTATTATATTATTCAGTTGTCTTTTTCATTGTAGAGGAAATAAAAGGTGTAATTACAAGCAAATGTACAAACATACACTCTTTCCTATATACTTACGTAGTTACCTTTTCTGGTGCTCTTTATTTCTTCATTTGGAATTGAGTTACTGTTTAATTTTCTGTCATTTCAGCCTGAAGGACTCCTTTTAGTATTTCTTGTGGGTTAGGTCTGCTGGCAGCAAACTATCTCAGCTTTCATTTATCTGGAAATGTGTTAATTTTTTTCTTTATATTTAAAGGCTAGTTTTGCAGGATGTAGAATTCTTGGTTAAGGCTGGGTGTGGTGGCTAACACCTGTAATCCCAGCACTTTGGGAGGCTGAGGCGAGCGGATCACAAGGTCAAGAGATCGAGACCATCCTGACCAACATGGTGAAACCCTGTCTCTACTAAAAATGCAAAAATTAGCTGGGTGTGGTGGCAGGCGCCTGTAGTGCCAGCTACTCAGGAGGCTTAGACAGGAGGATCACTTGAACCCAGGAGACGGACGTTGCAGTGAGCCGAGATCACGCCACTGCACTCCAGCCCGGTGACAGAGCAAGACTCCATCTCAAAGAAAGAAAAAAAAAAGAATTCTTGGTTAAGAGTTGGTTTCTTTCTTTCTTTCTTTCTTTCTTTCTTTCTTTCTTTCTTTCAGTACTCAGAATATGTCATCCCACTGACTTGTATCATTGTTTTGATGAGAAGTTAGCTATTAATCACACAATTGTGGCATAACAATTCACTTCTCTCTTGATGTTTTCAATAGCTTTCTCTTTGTCTTTCAACAGTTTAATTATCATATTGGCTGTTCTTGCATTACTAAAAAGAAATACCCAAGACTGGGAAATTTATAAAGAAAAGAGGTTTAGTTGGCTCATGGTTCTGCAGGCTTTACGGAAGTATGGTGCTGGCCTCTGCATGCCTTCTAGTGAAGCCTCAGGAAGCTTTCAACTATGGTGGAGGGTGAACGGGGAGTAGACACATCACCTGGCAAAAGCAGGAGCAAGCAAGAGTGAGTGGGCAGCGTGAAAGTGCCACACAGGTTTAAATGACCATATCTCACAAGAACTCACCATCATGAAGACAGCACCAAGCCATGAGGGAGCCACCCCCATCATCTAAACACTCCCACACTCCCATCCCCATGATGTAAACACTCCCACCAGGTCCACCTCCAGCCGTGGGGATTACAATTGAACATGAGATTCAGGTGGGGACAAATACCCAAACTACTTCAATTATGATGTATCTAGGCATGCGTCTCTTTGAAATTCTCCTATCTGGAGTTTGTTGAGCTTCTTGGATGTTAGATACATGTCTTTTATCAAATTTATAGAGTTTCAATGACCAAGGGCATAAAACATGTAACAATTCAGTCTTAAAACAGGGTCTATTAAAACAAAAACTACCACATAGAGTCTTTCAGGTAACTCTGCTACTCAGCGGGGGTTCCTCTTAATAAGGCTTCTGCCTGATCACTCATTTGCCCCTTGATATTTTTGTCAATTTGTCTTATCAACAATCTATCTTGTTTTATCAACAATCTATCTTGTTTTTTGTTTTTTGGTTTTTTTCCTGAGACAATTTCACTCCTGTTGCCCAGGCTGGAGTGCAATGGCGTGATCTCGGCTCACTGAAACCTCCGCCTCCCAGGTTCAAGTGATTCTCCTGCCTCAGCCTTCCAAGTAGCTGGGATTACAGGTGCATGCCACCACACCCAGATAATTTTTGTATTTTTAGTAGAGACGGGGTTTCACCATGTGGCCAGGCTGGTCTCAAACTCCTGACCTCAGGTGAACTGCCTGCTTTGGCCTCCCAAAGTGCTGGGATTACAGGCATGAGCCACCACGCCCGGCCTATCTTCTTTCTTAAAATTATATGCTTACATTCCTTTGGTGACAAGAAATATATATTATATTCATTTTTATTCCTGGCAATGCCTATCATGGTGAATTGCACACAGATGTTCAAAAAAAGTTTATTGATTGGCAAAATGAAAAAAAGGTTTCAACTTAAAGAAACTTTCATTTTGGGACCACAACTATTATTCATTAACGTAACATAATCTTCCTGAAATCATATTTATGAAATGCTTTCTTGTAAGAGACAATTTATGGTAACTTATACATTCAACATGAACCCTATCAGCATATTATTTTTTTGATTATTCAGATAATGCATTAAGATTTATGGATATTTACTTTACCAGTATTCTGTACCTACAGTGTAATCACCCTAGGTAGAAACAAATTTCTGAAATTTCATTTATTCCTTCCCCACCTATTATTTCTTAACAGACATTCATCATACACTTAATTTAGACTTCAGAGGATAGAATGCCATTTATATATATATATATATATATATATATATTAATACCTTTATTTGAAGTCTCTGCAAGCATTTTCTTCTCTCAGTTATTCCCAAAAGGTCAAATGTGTTTAATCACATTTTACAAAATAGAATGAAAGGCAATTAGCAGCTTTCAGTGTACCAATTTAAGTTTTTTAAATGACAGCTTTAAAACTTAATAATATACTCCTCAGGAAAGCTCTATGTACAAAAAATAATAACACCTGCATGAAATTATTTCATGAACACCATTTCTCAGGCCTGGTCCCCCAAACTTTAGAATCCCAGAACCTTAGAAGCTATCTCAATGGATACGTGCTACAACATCCCAGCCAAGGAAGAGTGCAAGGGACTAAGGGGGCTCCCAGAGCAGAGGACGCACCACCTTCAGAAACAGCCTGAATCCCCTTCTCAGATTCCTGTTGTTATAGTTATGAATGGTTTAAGAACAAGGAAAGGAACATTACTGCCTGCACCCACCAATATCTACCAATTATCTAAAAAGAGATTGCAGGTGTCAAGGGTCAGGAGACAGAGGCAGGGAATTCCTTCTCTACATCCCATCAACGTGTGGATGGGCTTCTTGGATGAGCATAGTGAGAGTTCTGAGTTCAACTAAACACAGGACGGATGAGCAGGTGAGTTGCAAGGGGCTGGAGGCAAAGCCATGGGAGTCAGGCCCTGATTATGAAGGAGGGCAACGGATCAGAAGAGCCCAGGGAAGTCCTCAAAGACACAGACGGTGGAGGGACTTTGTGCAAGGCCAAGAGAAGCCTGTCTGGTGAGAGGCCAGTGAGGTAAAAGGTGCGATGCTACGGAAAGGGGACGAGGAAGACACCTCGAGCTGCAACACACCCTCACGGGATGGATGCCCCAGCAACTACCTAACCCATCATATATCCCCGTGTTTATGCATTTACAAGAAAACCATCAGCCCTGGATTTTTTCCTGCAATATTAAGTAATATTTTATTCTATCATTAAATAGTACCTACACCTTGAGATGATGATATTGGAATATGCAGTTTTAAAATGGCTTCAACTGAAGATATAATATTCTCTTAACTGCTGAGTCTATGAATTCTTTAAATAAATATTTTTCACTTAAAAAAAACATAAATGACCCACTGATCTTATTTACACCATAATTGCAGTCATTTTTGTATTTGTTTTTAAAATTATCTTAACCACAGATGACAACACCAATGAACCAGAATATTTTCCCTTGTATGTAGAGAAAATCATATCAAGGCCGGGCGCGGTGGCTCACGCCTGTAATCCCAGCACTTTGGGAGGCCGAGGTGGGCGGATCACAAGATCAGGAGATTAAGATCATCTTGGCCAACATGGTGAAACCCCATCTCTACTAAAATACAAAAAAAATCAGCCAGGCATGGTGGCGCATGCCTGTAATCCCAGCTACTTGGGAGGCTGAGGCAGGGGAATCACTTGAACCCGGGAGGCAGAGGTTGCAGTGAGCTGAGATCGCGCCACTGCACTCCAGCCTGGCAACAGAGCAAGACTCCATCTCAAAAAGAAAAAACAAAAGAAAGAAAGAAAAGAAAATCATATCAAATGTGTGTAAGTATGCAGAAGGAAAATAGCTTCTTCTTACTAAATAAAATAATCAGCAAGCCAAAGTGGAAAGAAAAATTAGGCAACTCTCTGCAGCATTACAGATGTGGCTAGAGGAAGTCACTGTAAAGCAGACAATATTAAAAGTCATTACACTTGAAATCTATTGATTTTATCACAGTGTCTTTCAAAATTTTGATCACTACAGAAAGGAGATACTAGACTGGAACAATCTCAGGAACCAGATGTAATATTCTGTGGCCAAGTCCTTTATTTTAGGCTCACTGCCACCTCCACCTCCTGGGTTCAAGCAATTCTCCTGCCTCAGCCTCCCAAGTAGCTGGGATTACAGGCGCCCATCACCACACCCATCTAATTTTTCTATTTTTAGTAGAGACAGGGTTTCACCATGTTGCTCAGGCAGGTCTCGAACTCCTGACCTCATGATCTGACCACTTCAGCCTCCCAGAGTGCTGGGATTACAGGCGTGAGCCACCGCACCCGGCCAGGGGGATTTTCTATATAGATAATCATGTCCGCTGTAAATAGAGACAATTTAATCCCTCTTTTCTGCTCTATATGCCTTTTCCTTTTTTTCTTGCCTTATTGCAGTGACTACAACTTCCATACCACGTTAAATAAGAACAGATGTCCTTGCCTTTTTCCTTATCTAAGGGAAAAGCAGTCTGTCTTTCACTATTAAAACATGTTAGCTCTAGAGTTTTATTGTAGATGCTATTTATTAAATTGAGGATATTTTCCTCTATTCCTAGGTTACTGAGAATTTTTTTAATCATGAATGGTGCTGGATTTTGTCAAATGCTTCTTCTGTGTCAATTATGATAGTCCAATTTTCCTTTAGTAGGCTGCTAATATGGCAGATTACATAGATTGATTTTTCACTGTTGATCCAGCCTTGCATTCCTGGAATAAACCCTTCTCGGTAATGGTATATAATTCTTTTTAAACCTTTCTGGATATGATTTATCAACATTTTGTTGAAGATTTTGTGTTTATATCCACGAGAGATAGAGGTCTGTAGTTTTATTTTTCATTTTATTTTTCATCTTGTATTTATTGACATATACTAAAAGTACATTATTGTCATATGAAAGTCTGGGAATAATTTTATATTTGTAAAAGAATCCTTACATGAAAAAAGATTTGGAATTGCCAGACTAAATGGTCACTTTACCAGTCTAAATGTCCCTTTCATGTTTATGGAAATATAATTCTATTTATGAAGAATATTCAGGTATTAGAGAGTGATGAAAACACATTCTGGTGAAGGTATCAGGCATCAGTAACTCTAAAAATCTCAGCTCATCCAAGTGGAAAAAAGCTAGTTACCTAAAATGGGGGCATCAGTTTGCCTTCTGACTTTTTTCTAGTAACATTCAAAATTCTAAGCTGGGTCTAGAGATATCTTAATAAAAACATACTGCAATAAAATAATTTCATCTCACATTGTTTTTCAGGTATAAAGGCAACAAATTAATATTCTCAAATATGCAGTAACTAAAGAATACAGTGTCTTCAAGAACTTAATGGGAACAGAAAATTATTTCCATTTTGTTTGGGAAAAAAAGCACACTCTTAAACTAGAGCATTTTGAGGAACAAATTTTATTTTCAATGCAAGAAAACTGGTTCCATCACAAAGGCCAATTATATTTCATGCAGAACACAGAGGTAGGATGATGGAGGATGACTAGATTTGGCATTAACTGGATTAATACAAACTCTTAGTTTTTGGCTTTTGGCTTTGTCAGCTTACTGGCATTCATGCTAGATCTATAAATAATGAGATAAATTGTATGGCCAGCTCTCTAGAGAATAATTATAACAGTATCTGGCATAAGAAGATCCACATTCAGCACTGCTTTCATATCAGCATTTAAACAATCACGTTGTATTAGTCCGTTTTCACATTGCTGATAAAGACATACCCGAGACTGGGCAATTTACTAAAGAAAGTGGTTTAATTGACTTACATTTCCAAGTGGTGGGGAAGCCTCACAATCATGGCAGAGAGCAAGGAGGAGCAAGTCACATCTTACATGGATGGCAGCAGGCGAAGAGAGAATGTACCAGCAGGGGAAATGCTAGATGCTTATAAAACCATCAGATCTCCTGAGAACTCACTATCGCAAGAACAGTATGAGAGAAACCGGCCCCATAATTCAATTATCTCCACCTGCTGGTCCTTGACACGTGAGGATTATTACAATTCAAGGTGAGATTTGGGTGGAGACACAGAGCCAAACCATATCAAACCTTATTAAAATTTAAAAATACAGTACACATAGATTTTTTTTCCTTACTCATACTACTTATGTTATCAGAAGATACTTAATTTAAAAACTTTAAGTACAGGGAAAGTTTATTTATCTCTTAGAGATAATAATGTAGTTAAAAATTAGCAGTCACATAGAAAGACATGCAAATATTTAAACACTGAGTTTAAACACTGGGTTCAAAACTTCACATCTAACAATTTTGAGTACTATTTTAACCCTTAGCATTTGAGGGAAACAAATTGAATGCATAGGTGCTCTTTTCCACCAAGCTATTTTATTTTATTTTTTTGAGGCAAAAATTATAACAATCTCTGAAAGTCTTACAAGTTATTAAACTCCTTCATGCTTTTGAAAACTTACAAATTTCTGTAGCTAGGGTAATGTAATAGTTAAACAGATATTTTATGGATCTGATCAATGTAAGCAATAAAAATTCTGAATGATTTAAATTCCATGTAAACAATTTTTTTCACAGAACCATAGAAGCTTAGACTTTAAAAGACCATCTGCTCAATTTGATTGGTTATCTGCTCTGAAAATACAGACACTGTTTTAAAAAGCCTGGACTCCACCTTCACCTTCAAACCAATTAAATCAGGTAGTAGATCTCACAAGGTGGTCTCTGGACCAGCTGCAAATCGTTGGGCTCCATCCCAAATCTACTGAATGAGAAATTCTGGAGATGTGGCCAACAATCTGCATTCAACAAGCTCTGCAGGTGATTCTGATGCTTGATAAAATATAAGAATCTCTGATCTAAGGTAAGGCCAGAGCATCACGGGTACTTTCAACTGCCCAGCTCATTCAACTGTACAGCCAGTTTCAAACTCACTGACATTTTCCAAATCCTTCTTGTATGCATGAGGATACCAAAGACAGCACTTCCAGTAGCAATGAAAAAACAGAATTCAGACCAAACCCTCAGTATCCTAATGTTCATTTTATCCTTTCTACAATGCTCCACAACTACTCTCCTCACTTAGGCAGATAGAACTGAAGAGATTAAAAGATTTGTTCAATTGTACCCAAGAAAATTTTGGATTTCTATACCTCATTGTCAAATTTTGTGCTATATGGCAATAAAATGTGACTCTTAGAAAACCAAAATATGAAAACTAACATTTACACAACCATTTCTGGCTTATAAATATTTCTAAATTATAATCCAATTTCACTTCAATGGAATGACTAAGTTTGATTCTTTATACATGCTAGCCCTATTTTGAAAATATCTCAAATCTAGGAATCTGTGTATTCACTCAGTGTCTACCATGTAAAAGTTCCTCTAGGCCCCATGAGGCTGTTAAGAACACAGGGCACGCGGGCCTGAGGACGCTACCGAAGCCTCTTTTGTAACCTCGCCCTGAGCCAGAACACTGAGACCTATTTCTGAAGCTACATTGACATACCAGGAAATTCTCTCTAGAAGGAAAATGACATGGTTTCCGTTTTAAAAAACACTCTCATCGTCAAAGCTAGGTGATCCTGACACAATGTTCCCAAACAGCATTTGTGTACCCTGTTTCCTTTCTTTTCAACAAAATGGGCAGATTTCCACTGAAGAGCAACACATTTAGCCCCACTCCCACCCCCACTCTTCTGCTTTCTTGGATCTTTGCTATTTCTAAACAGAGACTTTGTATAACCAGTGACCGCAATGGCAAGTCACATAGCAAGACACCTGTCTATCACGCTGATCGTGTCTTTCACTCAGAGTTGTGTGCTGCCAAGTCCCCACCTATATTTGACCTTCACACATGAACTCTAGACCAGGAATGACAGAAACTCCATTCACCTGCTCAAATCTCCTTAGAGGAGCAGATGCAGTTCCTGGCCAGAGTAAGTCCGAGGGAGGCACACCCATCACAACTCCATCCAACATGCCCGGGCCCAGAGAGCTCCCTGCAGCGGGAGTCAAGACCCAGCATTGGAATTCCTCTCACTGAGCAGACGGACAAATCTCATCTGCTGAGTCATAACATCTCAGAAGTAACGATGCACCCCAGACACCCACAGGGAACGAATTCTCAGAGATGTGGCCCCCGCTGGGTCCAGAACCCCATGCAAGGCCCTCAGGAGGCCACATGCCAACTGACCTGTTCTACAACCAATGCTATGGAGGAATTGCTCACATGATCTGTTATAAAAATAACTTGCTCTTGAAGCTTGCGTTTCTGTTAGATGGAAAAGTATTGGCAGGATAGCCAGGAAAAAAGTCCTAAGTCCAAACAGAACAACAAGGATATAGAGGTCTGAGGCCAAGCCACTTTGTGAACCCCTCAACATTCACAGAAACTGGAAGATCTCAAGTGTAGAAATATGACCAACTTTAAGAAAAGAGTAGGGAAGAATAAAAACAGACATGTGTATAAGTAATAAAAAGAGTGAATGAAGGCATAATCAGAAAGTCAACACAAATAAAGGATGATAGATTTTTTGGATTAGTTGTTCTCTAATGATTCTCAACAAATTATTACGCAGACATCCAAAGGCCAATGGAGGTAAGAATCACCTGGCTGAGCAGAAGAAGAGGAGCTGGGAGCCTGCTTCTGCCATCAGCTTCATTTCTGCACCCTCCCAGCATAGTCAACGGTCCCCAGAGGTCTCCAGAAGTCCCAGTGGTACAAGATGCAGGCTCTAAGAACCAATCAGAAATGATGCTCTGCGATTCCTCAAACAAGGCAGTGAACCCTTAGGTACTTGGCACAAGTCCATTATATACTGAAGGCCTTACACGTCATCTTTGGTATCCCATTGCAGAAGTCCTAGGGGAACGACACTTACACAGTGCAGGCCACACAAACACAAATGGGGCCCTGAGAGCTTTGCCTGCAGAGCCTGGGTGGCACCTGGGGATCTATCTGCCCTTCACTTGGCTTTTGGATGTCTGCCTACTTTGATGCTCACCATACTGGAAAAGTTCTATGTTGGGCCCAGGTCATTCTTCATTCACACCAGCCACAGGACCATCTGCATTTTTCTCCATTATGTGACACCTTGGCTAGATTGCCCAAAAACAAGTGAGCTTGTTTTTGGACAATCTAGCCAGCAAATAAAGGAGCTTCATAGATCACAATGGTCTTTGGAATGATGACACATAAATAGTTCCAGTGTTCATAATCAATATCCAATATTTTGAAATACAGTACTGTGGTATATGGTGTCCCATAGAAAACCCACAGCAGGCCCCGAAATTCATCCGAGTTCATGGGTTACCATAACGATCACCACTACCTGAGAGTCAAAAATTTAAACAGTGGAGCTCAGTTCCAGTCCATTCCATCAGCAAGGGATCTTTTCTTTACTGTGCCTTCTCTAATTGCGGAGAATTTGGAGCTACACAACTTGGCCTGAGAAATCTCTTCTCCAGCAGAAAAGGAGAGGCTTTCTATCCAACAGTGCCAACGAAATCTTGAGCTAACAGTTCAGCTCTTCAAGCAATTGTCTGAGTATGGCAAATGGAGCCAACATTGAAAAGATTCAGAGAGAAAATTCAGCTGAGGTTATTTCCAGTGAATACAAAGATAAAACCCTCACTGGCCACCTTCTTTTTTTTTTTTAATTTTTATTTTTTTGAGACAGAGTTTCACTCTTGTTGCCCAGGCTGGAGTGCAATGGTGCAATCTAGGCTCATTGCAACCTCCACCTCCCGGGTTCAAGCAATTCTCCTGCCTCAACCTCCTGAGTAGCTGGGATCACACATGTGTGCCCCCAGCTAATTTTTGTATTTTTAGTAGAGACGGGTTTTCTCCATGTTGGTCAGGCTGGTCTCGAACTCCCGACCTCAGGTGATCCACCTGCCTCGGCCTCCCAAAGTGCTGGGATTACAGGCATAAGTCACATGCCCGGCCCCACCTTCCCTTCTTATTCATCATTCACGATTATGGCCTCTCCCACTATTTCTGCACCTAGAACAAAACCTGAGAATCATCGGATGCGGGAACAGGGCCTATGGGGAAGGATGGGGAGCATCTGCCCGTGAGTCAGCCCTGTGAGTAGCACCAGGCACCACAGAGAAACGAAAGCCAGGGCCTGCCAAGGTATGTGAGGGTCTTGCCCAGTCAAACAGACATGCTACCCTCAGAACCCCAGGATGGCAGCTAAAGTCAAAAACATGAATGTGAGTGAACCTGCCACACTAAGAAAAGAAACCACCATCTATTATCCACAGCACTTTCACAAGTCGATGAACAAAACATCCTGCTAATGCATCACAATACACGATACACTCTCCTTAGACACCTCTGCCTAATGCAAATACAGCCCCCATCAAAGATGTCTTAAGCATTTTAAATTCTTCCTCAGGCTCAACTTTTCCACTTCTAAAAGAGAAAATATTAAAATATGGTTAAATAAAATCAGATATAATTACCATTTCATAATTTTGTTCTTTCCAGGCCAACATGTAACTATCTGAATTTTAAACCACCTACTTGTTCTTACTACATACAGCTTTTAAAATAAGTAAGTCAATAATTAAACAAGTCATTAACATCTACTTGAGAAATAGCCTTACATGCAACATTTTTAATGGTCAAGAAGAATACGATTACCTTTCATAGAAACCCACTTACAAATTTAAGACATGGAAAATATGTGCAACAGTGAAGATTAAAATTTACAAATTTTAGACAGTAACTTTCCAGAGGAAGTAGCCACATTGATGTATTTTCGCAGTTAGTGACTATGTAGTTTACATACATGTATTTGATAAATCATTTAAAGCAAGAACATGATGAAGCTGCCCAATAGGTTATTTTCCTCAATGTAATGCTGCTTCAGCATGAGCATTTTGGTGTTTACAGATAGCCATGGCCATGACTGAAAAGGAAAGGGATGCTTGGATAAGCTGTCCTCTCCTGCTGAGATCTTGGGTCTCAGTTAACATATTAGAATGATCGCTGCACTGCCTCAAAGCATCTGGGAGAATGCAGGAATGCAATATGATTTCGAGTTGAGCCACAAGAAGTTCTGAGCCTTGCATGACTCATGCAGTTCCTTAAGCATCTCTCCTCCCCACTCTGATTTGTTATATCTGCGCTGAAAGATGAATTTATCTGTGGTAAATATTATCGAGAGGAAATCTGGATAGAAGTGAGTTAGGATAAAAAAGATAAAAGCACAAGAGATTGGGATGGGGCGGAAATGGTTTTACTCCCAATGTGTAAAATAAAACAATTTAGTTAAAAGCAAAAGTAATTTACCTAAAGTATTCAGAAAATGGCCTCAGTCCCCCATGTTGCTGAGTACATACCCGGTCAGAAGAGCACAGAGAATCTGTTTCCTATCCCCAGGATATAGGACAAGAAAACGTTTCCATCCACATCACTGTATTCATCAGCAGGACACTGAAATGGTTGCTTATGCATGTGAAACAGCAAGCATTTCAGCTACTAAATATCCCAAAGCCTGTCTCCTTACGTGAAAGCAAAAAGCCTAGGAAAATAACAGCTGCCTTGGGCACTGAGACAGCCAAATCTGCTTAGAAAGCATCAGTTTTCTTTGAAGTAAACTGAAAATGTGAGTTTCAAGCAGCCTGACTTCAAAGGTATAAGCAATATTTCTCCCTCAACCTGATGCTGGGAGAAAAAGTGTGTCCTTGGGAAGCTGTCTTTATTTAGTGACGGAAAAGAAGGTGCTTCAGAATTGGTCATTGTATATTAGGGGGAAATCTAGCTGGGAAGCAGATGCTTGGCAAACGCAACACACTCCTATACTTCTCTGGTTAATTTCATTCTGTTTACGAGTTCTTCTGAAACTCTTTATTCAGAAAATTTTGTAGAGGTTTAGATCTTTGCAGAAGATGTCATTATCCCTATCAAAATTTGTTTTAGAAGTAGACTCAGCCAAAACTCTGAGTAAGAGGAATTGATTAGAATGACAATATGCAGGAAGTATATCCTATCTAACTGTAAAATGCAACAATTAGCATTTACATTTAGCAAAGTGGCGGGGGGGGGGGGGTTTCAAGCGCAAGCTATTACTTTTTGTACCATGCCTCAAGCTTCAGACGTGCCAGTAGCATCTGGGAAGGACCAAAGGCACAGCACATTTTCGGCATGCCTCTAGAAAATAGCAACATTAGCTACAGTATTTTTTTAAATACTTCCATTTATATGCTTACAGATCAGAAGGAGAAAACAAAGAAATAGCCATGGTGCAAGAAATCATTTCCATTCATGCAAACTCAAACACAACAAGAAGGCACTTCTTTACACAGTTTTGTGAGTTCACACCCAAAGAAGTTGTTCTGGAGTTTGCAACAGCAACTTCAAGTTCCACAAATCACAGGAAGTATCATCGTCAGGATAAAATTTTTCTGCTCCTATATATTTGAATAAAGTGCAAAAAACATTCGATGCAAAGGACATATTCTTTAAGACCCTCACTTACACATAAACACAATTTCTTCTTCTAGTCAACAAACATAATACATCACTTCAAAATCTTTCTAACGTTTTTCTTTCCTTTTATCCAGAGAGTTATTAATAACATTGCAAATGTAAACACTAGTCACTGAAATATGATTAGTGAAAGTAAGTGAATGAGCTAAAAAAATTAGCATGCCAAAGGCTTATGTCAAGTTTGCATTTTTATCTAAAATTTGATGTTTCATGTGGAGTGCTGATTTGGCACAGAGGTACATTACACACACACACACACACACACACACACACACACATATATATATATATTTTAGACAGAGTCTTACTCTGTCATCCAGGCTGAAGTGCAGTGGTGCAGTCTTGACTGACTGCATCCTGGACCTCCCGGGCTCAGGTGATCCCCCACATCAGCCTCCAGAGTAGCTGAAACTACAGGCGTGCGCCACCACACCCAGCTAATTTTTGTATTTTTAGTAGAGACCGAGTTTTGCCATGTTGCCCACACTGGTCTCAAACTCCTGAGCTCAAGTACATTCCACACAGCTGGACCTCCCAAAGTGCTGGAATTACAGGCATGAGCCACTGTGCTTGGCCAAATCCTTTTTAACAAACAAACAAAAAAAAAACTTCTTGCTTTTGTTGCCTCCTAAAACATATCAAAGTCTTACAGTCTGAAAAGTACTTTTCCGATACAAGACAATTTAATATTTTCATGCCATTTTCTCATTGTAAACACACATCAATATAAAATTGTCATGAAAACTACATTTGAAATTCAAATGGTGATGGTTTTAACCCCAAATTAACATTTTTAGAGGAAATAATGTTTGGTGGAAATGTTCATTAAACATCATTACAAATTTAATGAAAAAGCATGCATTTGTACAAGATAGGATACCCCAGGTATATTCAGTCCCATGATTTTTTTTGAATGTCATCTAAATCAAACATGAAATATGCTTTATGTACAGGCATGACCATTACTTCATGTGACTTACTGAATTCTGTCTAGTCTTTGGTCCCATAGAAATTATTATCTACATCAACCTCGCTGATTTTTTTTCATCTCTCTTTTTAGTAGGTTCCATTCAAGGCAAAATGAAAACTTTTGTCAAGTACTAATGTAAAATTTCAAAATCCAGTTTTATTCTCAAAAACTTATTTGCATCTTCCACTGTTAAGACAGTGGTCTCTGACTCTGTTTTGTTAACTCTATAAAGCCAGTTTCACAGGATAAATTTGAATCAACAGTGCCTACTACTGCATCCCAGGTCACCAGTACAACACTGAATTGACTCCTGAGGTAAACCGACTGTATCTCATAATGACAGGCTTCCAAAGCTCTGTGCGCTAGCTACAATTGGAAGCAAATGCCACCTGTGCAAACAGACTTCAGAAAGCCTTCTTTCCACTTAATAGATATGTCTATGTAAATGGCCAAAAAATTCATCATTGTGTGTCCATGATCATATTTTAAAATACATAGTTCACAATATTACTTCTCTTAAAATTAAAGAATTAAAGCTCAAATTTTTTTTTCTAAATAAATTGGCTTTAAAATGTAGACTGCAAATATTCCTGACCATATTGATGGGCCAGTTCACAATCTATGAAGAGTTGAACATATATATGGAATATATATGTTCCCTTTCATGTCTGAAGAGGAATAAAACTGTACAGCATTGTCTTTTGTTTCTGAAACATAATTTAGAACTAAAATAAAATTGAAAAATAATTCTCACTAGACCTAGGAATTTCCTAAATGGATCAAAGTACTTTTTAACACACGTGGGATTTAATTAAAACGACTTGAATTCTTGTTAAGATAACAAGTTGCAGCATCGCTTACTAGCTCATTCTGTTTGTTTCTGTGTCTGGTCCACTTATATGGAAACTCAACCATAAGGATACTCTATCTTTTATCACACATGAGTACAATTGGTTGATGGTGGGGTGTCTATTCGACTTTTACTTTCTTTAGTATCACTCAGGTGTGAATCTTTGCGAATGTGACACTTGAACACTTGTTTATAGGCCTTCCTGAAATTTTCAGAGAGAAATGCATAAATGATAGGATTCACGGAGGAATTGCTGTACGCCAGGCAGTGGGCGGTGATTCTGAAGAGGAAGGAAGCCGGCGTCAGCGGGAAAACTCCAAACTCAGCCCAGAGATGGATGATGTGGTGCGGCAGCCAGGAGATTCCAAACACCACAACCACCACCAGAACTGTCTGTGCAGTCTAGAAAAGAAGAAGAGGAGGAGGAGGAGGAGGAGGAGGAGGCGGTAAGGGAGAAGAAGAAGGAAGGAAATTCATTGATTACAACACAAAAGGAATCCAGCATTTTAAAATACATCCTAAGCTAATTTTATGTATATTTTCATGAGATCAAAAATGGATACTACATCTGCTTTAAGTGTTAACCTTCACTCCCCATAATAATTTTGTTCATAACTTTTCCAAGACCTGTCATTACCTTCCATAGTAATAATTTTGTGATATATGTGAAATGCATTATAGGAAGTATGCTTCAAGTCATGGAACTAGAAAAGTACAAAGTTAGAGACTGTAACTTTTAAACTAGCAAAACTGTTCAAGCATCTCACCCACCGCAGCTGTATCACCAGCAATGCATCTCGGAGGAGCGCTGGACTTTGCTCCAAATAGTCACTTCTATGAGCAGGTGTGTAAGTGTTTATTTCTCCTCGTTAAACTTTGGCAAATTCAAGGCCAAATTACTTGATGCAGCGATGTGTTTCATTTCAGTTTCAGTCTATGGACCGAATTAGTCCCTTTTGCTTTCTTTCATTTTAACTCTTTCTTTGCTGCTCCTAAATCAGAAATACTTAGAAATCAGAGGCAGGGTCTTCGTGTTTCTTTTGTGATTTCTACTGAGCAAATGGTAGGAGGAAGTCATCGCTGGTTAGGGACCTCAACAGGAGAGGACATCAACCTCCTATGCTCAACAAGCATGTGCCTGTATACATGGCCATGGCCTCCTCCACTGGCCACAAACCTATGGGACTGGAATTAAGCCTCAGGGCAACCTCGTCTGTTCCACACATGTTGAAAGACAAGAGCTAGATAGCTTAGTTTGTGATTAATTGAAAACTCTGTCTTTGGATTCAAAGAAAAGGCAATGATCCAATTTATTAAAATGCTTTAATTACGGGAGTCTAGTATTTTTTAAACTATAAAATACAAACCAATCAGTTGGTTCTCTCCTCAAACAGATGGTTCTCTAACAAGTGCAGCTCAAAACCCACACACAACCTCTAGTGCCGCGATGGTCACAACAGAGCCATCGAAACTAGTGGACCGATGATGGGACCACATGCATTATTTCACCGAATGTCCTTTACGACTCTATGAAGCAGATGCTGTCATGACCCACAGGTTGTAGATGAGGAAACTGAGACTCAGGAGGGGAAGAGCAAATGCCCAGTGTCCCACAGCTGAATGCAAAGGTGGGGCTGGCAGCCAGGCCGACATGCTCCCCAGCCCATGCACTGGGCAGCTGAGCTGCAGGGAAAATTCTGGTCATCAAAAGCCACACTTCCCTCTCTGCACCCAACAGGGCTGCTTCTCAAGAAGCATTATGCTAGCTGTGTGGGCAATAAAGGCTGCCATAAGAAAACCTCCATCTCAGTTCCCTGGCGTGAAGGGACAGAGTGCTTCCCCAGCCTCCTCTGTTCGATGGCTTCAGCTTTCTGTTCACTTCACCAGCAAGTTTACTTCTCATAGGAAAAAAGGAACATTAAGCGCAAAGAGGTGCACCTTTCAGCCTCTTGGCCAAAGGTTAGGACTCAAGTAACTTCTTTCTCTCAGACATAGTCCAGGCTGTAATATTTTAGAGCATGCTTGGACATTGGGAGGGGAAGCATCAGAGCGTGAGCTGGCAGCAATCCCACTGATATGGTTTGGCTGTGACCCCACCCAGCTCTCATCTTGAATTGTCATTCCCATAATCTCCACACATAATGGGAGGGACCCAGTGAGAGGTAATTGAATCATGGGGGCAGTTACCTTCATGCTGTTCTCGTGACAGTGAGTTCTCAGGAGATCTGATGGTTTTATAAGGGGTTTCCCCCGACCCTTCACTCTCATTCTTCTCCTTCCTGCTGCCATGTGAAGAAGGACATGTTTGCTTCCCTTTCTGCTATGATTGTAAGTGTCCTGAGGCCTCCCCATCCCTGTGTAACTGTGAGTCAGTTAAACTTCTTTCCTTTATAAATTACCCAGTCTTGAGTATGTCTCTTAGCAGTGTGAGAATGGACTAATACGGTAAATTGGTACTGCAGAGAGTGGGGCACTGCTGTAAAGATACTCAAAAATGTCGAAGCAACTTTGGAACTGGGTAATAGGCAGAGGCTGGAACAGTTTGGATGGCTCAGAAGAAGACAGGAAAATGTTGGAAAGTTTGAAACTTCCTAGAGCCTTGGGGGTGCTGAGAAGACAGGAAGATGTGGGAAATTTTGGAACTTCCTAGAAACTGTTGAATGTCTTTGACCAAAATGGTGATAGTGATATGGACAATGAAGTCCAGGCTAAGGTAGTCTCAGATGGAGATCAGAAACTTCTTGGGAACTGGAGTAAAGGTCACTCTTGCTATGCTTTAGCAAAGAGACTGGTGGCATTTTGCCCTTGCCCTAGAGATCTGTGGAACTTTGAACTTGAGAGAGATGGTTTGGAATTGGAACTTACGTTTATAAGGGAAGCAAAGCATATAAACGTTTGGAAAATTTGCAACCTGATCATGCAATAGAAAAGAAAAAAACGCATTTTTGGAGGAGAAATTCAAGCAGGCTGCAGAAATTTGCATAAATAATGAGAAGCCAAATGTTAATCACCAAGACAATAGGGAAAATGTTTCCAGGGCACATCAGAGGTCTTCATGGCAGCCTTTCCCATCACACACCCAGAGGCCTAGGAGGAAAAGTGGTTTCATGTCCAAGCCCAGGGCCTTGCTTCTTTGTGTAGTCTTGGGGTTTGGTGTCCTGTGTCCCAGCTGTGGCTAATAGGGGCCAACATATAGCTCAAGCCATCGCTTTAGCAGGTGTAAGCCCCAAGCCTTGGCAGCTTACCCATGAGGTTGGGCCTGCAGGTGCACGGAAGTCAAGAATTGAGGTTGGGGAACCTCCATCTAGATTTCAGAGGATGTATGGAAATGCTTGGATGCCCAGGCAGAAGTCTACTGCAGGGGCAGAGTCCTTATGGAGAACCTCTGCTGGGGCAGTACAGAATGGAAATGTGGGGTCAGAGCTCCCACACAGACTCCCCACTGGGGCATTACCTAGTGGATCTGTGAGAAGAGGGCCACCATCCTCCAGACCCCAGAATGGTAGATCCATCCAAAGCTTGCACCCTGCACCTGGAAAAGCCATAGACACTCAACATCAGCCATGAAGGCAGCCCGGAAGGGGGCTATGCCCTGCAAAGCCACAGGGGAGGAGCTACCCAAGGCCATGGGAGCCCACCTCTTGCATCAGTGTGACCTGGACGTGAAACATGGAGTCCAAGGAGATCATTTTGGAGCTTTAAGATTTGGCTGCTCCACTGGATTTCAGATTTGCATGGGGCCTGTAGCCTCTTTGTTTTGGCTAATTTCTCCTATTTGGAATGGTTGTATTTCCCCAATGCCTGTACTCCCATTGTATCTAGGAAGTATAATAGGTACGTGCTTTTGATTGTAAAGGCTTATAGGCAAAAGGGACTTGCCTTGTCTCAGATGAGACTTTGAACTCAGACTGTTGAGTTAATGCTGGAATGAGTTAAGATTTTGGGGGAATGCTGGAAGGGCATGATTGTGTTTTGAAATGTGAGGACATGAGATTTGGGAGGGGCCAGGAGCAGTAAGACATGGTTTGGCTCTGTGTTCCCACCCAAATCTTATCTTGAATTGTAGTTCCTATAATCCCCATGTGTGGTGGCAGGAACCCAAAAGGAGGTAACTGAATCATGAGGGCAGTTACCTTCATGCTATTCTCATGATAGCGAATGAGTTCTCATGAGATCTGATGGTTTTATAGGGGCTTTTCCCACCCTTTACTCTCATTCTTCTCCTTCCTGCTGCCATATGAAGGACGTGTTTGCTTTCCCTTCCACCATAATTGTAAGTTTCCTGAGGCCTCCCCAGCCCTGTGGAAGTGTGAGTCAATTAAACATCTTTTCTTTATAAATTACCCAGTCTTGGGTATGTCTTTATTAGCAGTGCAAGAACAGACTAATATACCCACTCTCTTCCCAGACCTCACTGGGTTTCATGGAGCAGGAAAGCAGACCCCCTCCCCTGGCCTTCCCATCACAGCATACAGATGTGATGAAGGGTTTACCTGTGGCCACCAGTCTGTTTTCTAAACAGAAATACTCTAAAATGGATAAGTGGGAGAAGAAAAGTTGGGGGGAACGAAGAGAAAGAGAAAAAGAATGAAAATAAACAGAGCCTTATTTTTCTTATAACTTCACATGGAGGGAAGACTAAGACATGGGAAAGTGACTCCATGACTGAGACAGCACTGTCCCACCACAGATTTTCCCTTGGGACATAGGACTTCCTACAGTGATCCTGCATGGACCTCACACCCTGCAGGACTATCACAGGGCAGTGGGAACCACAGCTCCACACTGCTAGGAGGGGAAATCCTACATAGCAAAAGGATTCTTTTTTTTTTTTTTTTTTTTTTTTTTTTTTTGAGATGGAGTCTCGCTCTGTCACCCAGGCTGGAGTGCAGTGGCACAATCTCGGCTCACTGCAACCTCCATCTCCCACGTTCAAGCGATTCTTCTGCCTCACCTACCTGAGTAGCTGGGATTACAGGTGTGTGCCACCACGCTGGCTAATTTTTGTATTTTTAGTATAGACGGGTTTTCACCATATTGGTCAGGCTAGTCTCAAACTCCTGACCTCATGATCTGTCCGCCTCAGCCTCCCAAAGTGCTGGGATTACAGGCATGAGCCACTGTGCCTGGCCAAAAAGACTCTTCTTATCACTTCCCATGAACTGGAGTCCCACTGCAATAGAAATGACAACCAGACTATAACGCATGAGATGCCAGCTCTTCAAGGATTGACATGAGGTAGCAAAGTAAGACGTGAAATGATGTTTATCAAAGAGGGAGACTGGAAGCCAGGAAGCTGTGCCCAGGATCCAGGCAGAGAGAGTAGAGGGAGGGCTAGATCTCAGATCAAGGCCAGGACAAATCCTACTAGCGAGGTGGACAGGAGATGAGAGTTAAGCTCCCTATCGAGAGGCACCAGGGATTGCACAAGACCCCAGGACTGACAGCAGGTCTGTGTTCCCACCTGGCCATGCCATAAGCTGGTTGTATGACCTTTGCAAAATGTCATAAACTCCCTGAGCCTCAACTTCCTCAGCTAAGAATAAGATGAACCAATGAAATGATTCCTAGACCATGCCTCATCTATTTAAACACGACAAACAACTCAGGTATAAAAATCTAAGTACGGGTTTTACAGGGTACAAGCTTACATATTAAAGCCACTTATTGCATGACACACAAAGCAAGCAGATAATGTGCTCACATATATTAAGGGAGTGCCTTCTATCAATCCATTTATCCATTAGTGGATGAGAAATGCCATTCTCAGATGATTTAATCAAAACAATCTAGATATAATTATACCTACAAATAGAATATAAAACATCATCATTTCTTTCTAAGACAATCAGACCATCTCTCTATGTCACAGAATGGTTACCCTCCGGGTATTGCATTTCATTGTTTCTTTTAGACAATTTTACTAAGTACAAAGCAGAAATCTATCCCAGCAGCTTACTGATAAGATCTATGCCTTATCAACATCCACAGGGCAAATGGTAGTGTGCCCTGAGGCCGGAGTGTTTTCTCTGGCAGTGTTTGTTAACTTTGTGTGTCTGTGACTCATTCCAAGTTTACCTTTTAATTTTTACTAGTCCCATTGCTCTTAGAGCCATGGATAAGAATCAGGTTCTTTTTCTTGGTTTACCAGCAGCTTTGAAATGAGATGGAATTACAGTTTGCAACATAAATATCAGGAAAGAAGGCTTAATGGGTATTTGCATAAACTATATCATCTGTCTCAGATTGTTCCCAAAAGAGTTTAATAGAAGGCCTGTCAACACTGACTATCCTCCCAGCTAAATATCTCCAGGGGATTACTATTTTCTTGTTTATCAAGCATCTCAGGCCATTGAAGTTGAAGGCCTCCTGGTTGGTAAAAGCCAACTCCATGCAAACAGGCCCTGGGCACCTGGTCCTGCTATCTTTGAGGTGAGTCCAATTCAGTCGTAGCAATGACAATGTGGCAAATACACCCATGTGCATGGTTGAAAACAGTAGATGATTTTTGTCTTCATTCTTCCCTTGCAACGGATGCTGGTAGAAGATGGGACACGGGGCAAGAAGTTCCATGCCAGTGGAAAACCATCTTTTTTGATTTACTACTGCTCCACACTGTCAAACTCGGGAAACGATATATGCCTAGCATAGACACGCTCAAAGTTAAAGATCTGGCAAAATAATGCACGTGTACTAATTTCAACCCTGGGATTTAAGTAGGTTAGTATGCCCATCCTCAACCAGTGCAAAGCTTTTTTTTTTTTTTTTAATTCGGATAGCTATACCTCATCTCTTATGGCTTTAAAGCAATTGGTAGAGTTTACTAGTTACCCAGGAATCTGCCTTTTTAAAAAGCTCAGCCAGATAACAGTGGCTCATGCCTGTAATCCCACCACTTTGGGAGGCTGAGGCAGGAGGATCGCTTGAGGTCAGGCATTCTAGGCCAGCTTGGACAACATCCTGAGTCCCCACCTTTAAAAAATGTTTTCAAATAACTTAGCCGGGTGCAGCAGTGTGCACGTGTAGTCCCAGCTATGCAGGAGGCTGAGGTGGGAGGATCTCTTGAGCCCACAAAGTTGAGGCTGCAGTGAGCTATGATCACACCACTGCACCCCAGCCTGGGCAACAAAGCAAGACCCCATCCCTAAAAATAAATTTAAAAGGAGCTCAAGAAACTGTTTGGAGAACCACTGATGAATTACATAAAAGTCACAACAAAAGGAAAGTTGTCTTCCCCACCTCAATTTAAAGGCAATAAAAAATGCTTGGTATCAACCCCTAAGGCTGAAGCATCTCCTTTCCTTAGAAAGGGCTGGAAAAGCCACTTCCTTCCTGTCTTTCCCATGGAAACATCAGAAAGTAACATCAGAAAGTAACAAAACACTGAATCTGCAGGAGCGTGATTTTAGACTTCCAAACTCCAGGACTGCAAGAAATACATTTCCGTTGTTTATGGGCCATCCAGGCTGTTGTATTTTCTTATAGCAGCCTGAACAGACTAAGACCAGTGGATACAGCGCAGAGAAAGTAACATAGAGAACTCCCCTCTGTGGAGGACGAGGCTGATTTTTAAAATTTATTTATGACGTGATTCTTTCTACTCTCTTACAGGGTCCTCCGTCTCCGTCAGACGGGCATGTCCCCTGTGTGTGCACTGCTTCCCTCCTTTGTCTATTTAGCGTATAGAATCTCAACATTATCTTTTGATGGAGAAAAAATTATTGTTTAAAATTATGTGCTAAATCTTTATACAAATTCTTCTTACACTTGAGTTTAGGTCTTTTAATAGCATGGTTTCTTTGTGCTCCTTCTGCTGAAAGTATCTGAAAAAATATTAGTCTCTCTTCTTATTGTGAGATGCTCTTTTTCAAATCATCTGAGATGTCTGTTCTTTCTTCAAAGAATTTTACTCACAATATGTCTAATGGAATTTGGCTGGGGAGAAAAGAACTGAATAAAAGGTGAGAATGATAAAAAAAAAAAAAACCTCACAAATTGTATAAATGACATCCAAAAACCTTACTGAATTACTTTAAGCCAAAGAAACAACAAAAAAAGCAAACATTAAAAGAACCCAGTGGCTTGATAGGACATCAAGAGGTCCTTTAATCCAATTTTCTCCAGGAAGCAACCATCCAGTATGGGTGTCTATCCCATTTTGAGGTCTTCCAAGGTTTTAACAATCAGCTTTGAGCCAGAAACATTTCTTTATGTCTAGCAGAGTTTAAGAAAAGCATGTGATCAATCCTAGCCCTTTATTCCTGCAGTAGAAATCCTATTCTTCTTTTGCACTTGCTCCAAACATGGAGAATAACTGTTAGCATGTTTATCATGAAAGACCAATCTCCCCACCCCATAATAATTATAACTCTCAACAGGAAAGCCCCGTATGGACGGCGGCACCATCTCAAAGTTTATGTCCCCACCCCGTCCAAAAAATTCATAAATTGGAACCTAATCACCAAGGTGATGGTATTAACAGGTGGGGCTTTTGGATGGTAATTAGGTCATGAGGTGGGGGGAGCCCTCATAATGGGATCCGTGCCCTTATGAATGGGGGCCTAGAGAGCTGCCTCACACCTCCCACCCTATGAGGACACAGAGACTAGTGCCCTTTTGAAAGAGGCCCAGAGAGCTGCCTTACACCTCCCACCCTATGAATAATGGGACCAGTCCCCTTATGAAAGAGGGCGCAGAGAGCTGCCTTTCACCTTCCACTCTGTGAGGATACAGAGAGAAGGGGCCATCTATGAACCAGAAAACGGCCCTCACCAAACACTGAATCTGCAGGAGCTTGATTTCAGGCTTCCAAGCTTCAGGACTGCAAGAAATAAACTTCCATTGTTTATGAGCCACCCAGACTATGGTATTTTCTTAAAGCAGCCTGAACGTACTAAGACCAGTGGATACAGAGCTGAGAAAGGGAACTTTACTTATACATTGAGAGAAAGGGCTGGAAACAAGTAGCCAAATCCCTGTCACATCTTCCATTACCAATCAAATGATGAACACGTGTGCACCAGTAGCAATTTTCTGTGCTGAGACCTGGGGAAATACCCACGATGGACCAACCCAGTTCCTGTCTTCAGGGAAGTTGCCATGTATTCTTGCTTTCCTTCCCGAGTCTCCCCTGTCTCACCTCTCCTGCCTCTGTCCCCCTCTCTCCGCCACCTCCCTTCTCATCACGCCTCTGCTTCCACACCCTCTTCTTACCCTTTCTCTGCTCCTCTCTCCCATCTCTTTCTTAGACACACACATACCACCACCACCATTACCATCACCACCATCACCACAATTGCCACCATCATCATCACTATTGCCACCACCACCACTGCCACCACTGTCACCACCACCACTGGCACCATCGCCACCACCACCATCACCATCACAATCGCCACCATCACCATCACTGCCATGACCACCATCATCACCACCATCACCACCACCCCTATGACCACCACCACCATCACTACCCACCACCATCACCACCACCACCATCACCATCACAATCGCCACCATCACCACCATCACCACCATGATCACCATCATCACCACCATGACCATCATCACCACCATAACCACCATGACCACCACCAACACCAACACCACCACCACTGTGACCACCACCACCATCCACCACCATCACCACAATCGCCACCATGACCACCATCATCACCACCATCATCACCACCATGACCACCATGACCACCACCAACACCAACACCACCACCACTGTGACCACCACCACCATCCACCACCATCACCACAATCGCCACCATGACCACCATCATCACCACCATCATCACCACCATCATCACCACCATCATCACCACCATGACCACCATGACCACCACCAACACCACCACCACTGTGACCACCACCATCCACCACCATCACCACAATCGCCACCATGACCACCATGACCACCATCATCACCACCATGACCATCATGACCACCACCAACACCAACACCACCACCACTGTGACCACCACCACCATCCACCACCATCACCACAATCGCCACCATGACCACCATGACCACCATCATCACCACCATGACCATCATCACCACCACTACCGCCCACCACCATCACCACTATGACCACCATCATCACCACCATCACCACCACCATCACCACCACCATCACCACCATCACCAGCACCACCACCACTATGACCACCACCACCATCACCACCACCACCACCACCATCACTATCACAATTGCCATCATCACCACCATAACCATCATCACCATCACCACCATCACCAGCACCACCATCACATGACCACCACCACCATCACCATCACCACCATGACCACCACCACCACCACTATGACCACCACCACCATCACCACCATCACCACCACCACCATCACCACCATGACCACCACCATCACCACCATGACCACCACCACCCCCACTATGACCACCACCATCACCACCACAATCGCCACCATCACCACAATGATCACCATCATCACCACCACTACCACCCACCACCATCACCACCACCAATACCACCACCATCATCACCACCACCACCACCACATTTATTTATTCTGTGCAAACAAGGAGGCAATTAAATACATCAACAAAGATCTGACATCTGTTCAGTAGCTGTTAAGGGTCAGAGGCTGTGAAAACGAAAAAGAAAATCTTCATCCCTTCTTCAAATGCTAGATCCTCATGGTAAGAATAAGCAAAAGATAATTTTATATAGATATATTTAGTATATGTATATATGTAAGCACATATGTATTATATATACATATACTCACATAAATCTAAATATTTGTGTATATATGTGTATGTGTATATAACTAATGACTGAACTAATCACTGATCTTTAGGTTTTTTATTGTAAAATAAAATAGAAGCTTTTCTAATCATTTTTATAAGACCTATTTTTTCAGTATTTTGTTCTTCTCTGAGACCTTCACAATTTCTCTCCAATACTTTTTCAAATATGGAGACTAAAACTACCATCGACACAAGTAAGATTCAGCAAATGTTAAATAAATGTTTGGTTTTATTTCTTTTGGTAAGCATAAAATCTTTTGAATCATTAACACACATTTATCACAGATCAATGGTGTCTTCTCAGTTAAAGTTTGACGAGCCCAATCCCTCCCAAGGGAAATTAATCTCTCCCTTCCCTGATGCTCCAAACACTGCCCCCTTGAACAGGCCTCTGGGACTCACACATTGATCTCTTCCATTACAATGTTGGCTTCCATGCGGAGCCAGTTCCTCTTAGAATCCCCTGGATCGGCTTGGTCCTACACAGAGCAGGTGCTCTAAAAATAACTGTCCTAGGAGAAGTCAGAAACTATCCTTAATTGTCTTTAAAGAACCATTGTCTTAGAAATAAGAAGTGTGACTCAGAGGAAAAATCAATAGATATACCAGAAAAATGGAAAATCTCTACCATAACAGCACATCACTAAAAAGAGAGGAGGAAAGCACCAACTTACAGGGTTTATTCCATTCATATAACTTAGCACTTGGTCAGCTGCTCTAATGCGGGGCCTAGATGCCTAAAATGAAATATTCATAATAATTGTTCAGATGTAAGAAAGGATCAATGGAATAAAGCCATAGCATGGTCTTGTTATTTATACTGCACCTTGTATTCTTAGGTGGTTATCCTAAACACTGTATGATTGCATTTCTAACATAAGCTAATTTTTTGCTGCCAGGGAAAAAAAAAAGTCTTAATGTTTGTGCTCTATAACCAATTCTCTACCACTGGTTTTGACTCTGGACTATCAGATGGCTTTTTAGCCACATTACTGTTCATAAAGAAGGAAAGTCAGGAAGAGCTGTCCTTTATTCAAGTAGAATTTTTAAGTAAACATGATTAAACATGATCTAAACTATAATTTCTATAAATTAGGTATGTCATTGATCATAATAAATATAAGGAAAAAACAAGGTATTTTAAGATGTTATTATTACACTTTTGGGTTAAAATATCTGGTTATAACCTCCTACTCCTTAGTCATATTGCCTAATAATCTCATTCTACTTCCTAAAATTAGAAGCTATATAGATATTTTCTGAGTAAGAGTTCATTTAACCTTGATTTGTGAAATAGTTTTCCCCCAAAATGTAGAATATCATGACCATCAATAAGTTAGATGCTGTAATACCACTCAGGAGAAGCTTGTTTAAATCGGGGCTGGGGGATGAGAAAGTCAGTTAGCAACGGGAGGAATCTGCTTTCAGCCTTGTCCACTCTTCAGTCTTTACCTGCCGGGTCAGAGTCAGCACATGTGGGTGAAAGAGGCAAGAATGGCCCAGCACTCTGGTGGCTTTAGGGAGGGATTATAACAATGTTGTCTTAAACAAGAACCAAACCAGGGCTTTTCGGAATCACATCAGAGATTGAAAACATAAAACAAAATGACTATACTTTCCCTCTAAGTATGCATGTCAGCAACTCTGCACTCTGCACTCTGTCTCAGTCAACCTAAGTGCACTCACCTCCTGGTGAGGCGCACAATCAGCAGAATCCGCATTTCCTCATCTCCCCAGATCTTCAGCTAAGTTTGAATGCAGCACGGAGTGACCCACGGTGCCCTTGCCAAGGCCGACCCTCCATTCCCATCCTAACGGTGGGAGGCTCATCTCAAACCTCCTTAGCCACACCAAGGGTCCTAAATGTTACAGGCTTTGGATGGACGTGAGGACAAGTAAAAAAAACAAAGGTAAACTAAGCTCTGAAAAGTAACATATATATATATATTTGTGATCATTACCTTTTTCTTGGATGCTTCAGACTTCTTTGACATGTTCTTCAACTTTTTATGCAAGTGATTAAGGACCTGAAAGACACAGACTATTGAAATCAGTTCGCCTCACCTCTCATAACCCACTGCCTATGTTGCATTAACAATTATTGACATGCTGAAATGGTAACATCACTATTTATAAGATCATTAAAATAAAAACTCAAATTAGGTAATTAGGTAACAATGAACATGAGTTGCCAAATACATTCTTTTCTAACACTTAGGAGCAGCCAGGAAGGCTGATGCACAGCCAGACAAGTTCACAGCCATAGCACCTGTTTGCAGAGAATGCCCAGGGCGTGGAGCTCTGGGGTTTTGCCCAGAAACAGCCATGCCATGACCCACTCAGGTGTGCTTATTACACTATTGTCTTCCTTGGTTTCTTCCAGGACCCCATATATTAATAAACACCAGGTCCCTGCTACATGTCAGGCACAAAGTTAGATCCTGGATGCATCGAAAAACTAGAGATTTGCCCTTCCAAAATTCACCATCTGATGCGGAAAGCAGGCAAGTAAACAAATGAAGATAATATCATCAGACATTTCTTCAGTGCAGCCAACCCAAATATTGCCAGCGTTTGTGCCAAAATATTCTTTCTCCTTCCTCTTATGGGCTGCCTCCACTGCAATTCTCCGTATGGCAAATCACCTCCCATCAGGCTTCCTTTCATTCTTTATTCAAATCCTACCCACTGTGCTGTGCTTTCAGACAACTTATTGGGGATTCAGCGTCACTGATGATTTACAGAACATTTTTGCAAGGTTTGACAATTAATGTCCCTGTCAGGGAATCTCCTTGAAACACACTGACTCCCTCAATTACAGAAACTATTTTTGTCTTTTCTTGCCAGTGTAATACTCAGGAGAAATGATATGAAAATGTGGGGTTTTAGATGTAGGAATTTCCAACATATATTTGGTCTTAGACAACGTTGTCAAGCCTGCAGAACTGTCACTTAAGTTCATTGCTATATCCCATCTGAGGGAAAAATCTAGAGAAAATCTAGCCCCAGGGCGACTAAGTGCTTTAGAGCATCTGTAGATTGCTGAGAAGTCTCTCAAGGAACCGGAAGCCATGTTCCAACCAGTTCTTTGTTCCCTGTAGCATGGAAATAATTTAATCGAATTGAACTTATTGCAAAAGCCTGCTCCATTCAGCCAGATGAGGCACTTTCAGAGCAATTAGTCACACCTTACTTGGAAGCCACAGGATATATTTACCAGCTGCCCAGGCCCTATGCAGGTGAACAAGCAGCCACCCCAGGGACGTGAATTTCTGACTTTAAATTCTCTCCCCTACCGAAATGCTTCCCACTTCCTGAAATGACTCAGCAACATCTGCAACAAAACAAGTGTTTACGTGCCGCAGGAGCATTTGGGAAAACACTCAATACATTGACAAGGTGTTAGTTTACTGTTCTACCAGCCGAAATGGGAGTATCAAAACCTGAATGCAAGGCAACGACAGAACAGGGATTTCCTGCAGGAGCAAATGAGAGCGTTTCAAAGGGGAAGGAAAGGGCTGGAGGAGGCAGGACCCTGCCCAAGAGGACAGGACTGCCTAGATGGCTCAGTGGCAGCCTTCCCAATGGGAAACCACAGGACAACACTGGTCACTGAGGACACAGGAGAGACAACAGGAGAGGCCGCACAAGCAAAATCAAAGAGGGACACCTGGACAAATCACAACAAAATGTCCAAATGTGACCAGCTTCATAACGCTGCCGAGCTCCAATTGTTCCTTCCAAAAAGGAATTCGGATCACAGCTCAGCCACTTCAAAACACCCAAGAATGTTGAATGCTGTTAAATGGTCAATGGAGAAAATACTCAAGTCTATTTTTATTAGCTCTGCTTCTCTTCAATAGCTCCTACTATGAGCACAGAATGATATATTATGATGCACCCCACTGAAGGTCTCAGCAGCAAAGGAGGAAGAATGTAGGTACCATGATAGGGTATGACGACGTTTAAGAAGAGAGTGATAATAACATACTGGGGTCTCTTGGTGAGTCTGTAAATTTCTGAGTGTGCACAGGAAGGTGCTAGCTCAAACCAAACCCAGGTCCTGCTGGCTACATCCTGGGGATTCGGAGTAACTTAGTCGAGTGGGCCCATTGAGTTTATCCTCATGGTAGACCAAGGAGATTCTGGACAGTAATTCACTCTAAGGGAAGTGAGCGAGGGGCACAGACCTGGTGAAGAACAGCTCCATAGCAGCAGAGGGGAGGGCTCTTCAGGGGGCACTGGGCAGACCACTTCGACTCATCCTCCCACCCATGTATTCGATGAGTTTCCCAGAAACTGTCTGGTGCAAAAGACTGCTCCCTTACAAACTTGTGAGAATTTGGAGGCAAAAGGCAACTCTGGAATGCAATTGTCTTAAGTTTTTTTGTTTATTTAAAGCATCATAACCTCAGGTTCCCTTTTAGCCATCTGTGTTTTTTCAGGCTATCCAAAAGGCCTGGGGTTTGGAGGAACAGCTAATCCTGAAACTAATACTCAAGTAGCAAAATCCTTAACTGGATGGTGCACACCTAATGCCTGAGCCAAAGAAAATCAACTTGAAATAACTGAAATCTCCACCTATCCATGACAGCCCTGAAATTAACTTGCAAATATTATGAATATTATGCTGAATTCAATTTACTCCTAAAATCTTACTTTGTCATTTCCAGTAAGAAGATTTTAGCTCTTCTCCCTGAAGGCTTTGGGGAAATAAGGAAGCGTGTGCTTCAGTTCTCCACAGTAATTAGGAACTTAACAGCCATATATGTTAAGAATCTCAATCTCAGACTTCAATGTCCTCAAGGCCTCACCAACTGTCCCGTCCTCAGAAGACTGGGAATCCCTGTGTTAAAATCCTTCCAGAATCATTCACCAGCTTCATAATCTGGGTCAGGTGTTCCTTTCCAAAGCTCTTTTTCCTTAAATAATAAAATACGGGTAAATAATAAAATAGCTCCAAGCCACAGAGTTGTGCAAATTAAATGAGATGGTGCACATATCAGATAATTGTGCTATGTAAGATAGCCTTTGTTTAGCATCTGCGGAAGACCACGTTAATAAACCAGCCATTTTCCAAATAGCTAAGCTAGAGTTCTTTTCCAAATTCCCTTACTGCTACTATATTGGTGGTGGTGGTGGTGGTGGTGATGGTGGTGATGGTGGTGGTGGTGGTGGTGGTGGTGGTGGTGGTGATGGTGGTGATGGTGGTGATGGTGGTGGTGATGGTGGTGATGGTGGTGGTGGTGGTGGTGGTGGTGATGGTGGTGGTGGTGGTGGTGGTGGTGATGGTGGTGGTGGTGATGGTGGTGGTGGTGGTGGTGGTGGTGTTTTGAGACAGAGTCTCGCTCCGTTGTCAGCCAGGCTAGAGTTCAGTGGCACGATTTCGGCTCACTGCACCCTCCGTCACTTGGGTTCAAACAATTCTTCTGTCTCAGCCTCCGGAGTAGCTGGGACTACAGGGGCCCGCCACCACACCCAGCTAATATTTGTATTTTTAGTAGAGACGGGGTTTCACCCTGTTGGTCAGGCTGGTCTCGAATTCCCGACCTCAGGTGATCCACCCACCTCGGCCTCCCAAAGTGGTACTGTATTTCTTCATATTTAACCTTTTGGTGCAGGCCGTTCAGATAATATCCAGCAATATTATTATTCAAAATAGACACAATCTACCTAGATGAAATAGGTGGGGGGAAACAGGTGGCTTATAGTAAACACTTTTGTTGATAAAAATACCTTGTGACTTGAGTATTAAAAGTGATAGTTGTTCTACCTAGTCAGGTTATTTGTGGTCGTATAGTCACAGCCTTATTGAAACAGAATGAGAGACAGCGGTGAAGTCGGGTGGAACTGGTAACAGCTGTATTTCAAATGGCGATGCTCTGGAGCGAGGAGGTTGCGCACATTAGGGTTTACCCGGTGAATCGCCATCACCTGATTATTAAAATAAGCTCCCGTTTACGCAAATAAAAACACGTATGTCAAAGGCTGAAGACGTTTTGATCAGTATAAAGTCTTCAAACCCTTGTGGACTTAATGAGAAAAAGAATGTGAGTGCTGAGCTCTGCCCGGCTGTACAAAGGGAAAAACTATCTCCCACACGCGTGGACGGTGCCTCTGCTACAGTTAGGGTGAAGACCCGCCGCCTCAACCACTTCACCCTGTTCAGGAGACCTTTCTAAAAAGGATTGAAATGGGGAAGCCGAAAGCTCGAGTCCATTCCATTCCAAGTTCCTGGAGCCTGCGGTCAAGACTCTGTAAAGAAACACCCTTTTGCACTTGGGTTTACAAAGCTAAGCTTCAGAATAAAATAAAATTCGAGGCTCTGTCCCCGGGAGCAGCGGCTTCACAGAGCCCGGTGTGCGCAAAGCCTTCGGAGCGAGGGCAAACTGCGCACCCCGGGGGAGAGGGGCCGCCCCGCGAGTCCCCCCCGCCACGGCCAGCTGAGAGCCCGGGAGGGAGCTGTGGGGACCCGTCACCCTCGCAAAAGGTCCGCGCTCTGGTGACCACCAGAGCTCTCCTCAGGTCCCACAGCGCCGCGGCGGTAACCTCCCCGCGCAGCTGATCTGGTTGAAGAGTTGCTGGAACCGAGCGGGGTTTGCTGTACCGGGAAGGATGCGGCAGCGCCCGCCTACCTACCGCCCAGGCAACCTGGGGGCGTTGAAGGGCCGCAGGGCCGAGGAAGGGGAGGGGAGGAGAAACTGGTTCTACTGGACCATGCGAAGTGAACTGCAAACTTTCCCCAGCATCTCTCAGACTCCAAGTAACTTTCTTGCGCAAGCCAATGGCACGCTCCAGCAGCGGCCAGGAAGCCTCTCTGCACAGATCCGTACCAGCGCCGCCAGAGTGGGGACCACCGGGGCCAGGCTGCCGCCAAGGCTCCGGCAGGGCCGCGGGACACTGAGACCCCAGGGCCCCCACCGGCCCTCCGCCCTCCCTCGCGCGTCTCGGCCCCGCGACCGGCGTGCACCTTGGCATAGCAGAAGCAGATGAGCAGGAGCGGCAGCAGGTAGCCGAAGACGAAGGTGCACACCACGTAGGCCTTCTTGTGGCGAGGGTCGGGCCACTGCTCCCAGCAGAAGGTCTGGTTGCTGGCGCGCGGGTGGAAGAGGCCCTGGTGGTAGGCCACGGGCGAGGCCATGGCAATGGACAGCGCCCAGATGCAGCCCACGCCCAGCAGCGCGTTGCGGGACACCCTGAGGGAGGAGGAGCGCCGCGAGTGCACGATGGCCACGTAGCGGTCCACGGACATCGCGGCCAGGGTGAAGATGCTCACCAGCATGGACACGGTGAAGAAGTAGTGGATGAACTTGCAGATGAAGGCGCCCAGCACCCAGGTGGGCAGCGCGTACACGGTGGCCTGGAAGGGGATGCAGAAGAGCAGGTAGGCCAGGTCGGCGATGCTCAGGTTGAGGATGAACAGGTTGGTGGTGCTCCGCGGCTTGCCCGGCTTGCTGCGCGCCAGCACGGTGATCACTAGGCTGTTGCCCAGCACACCCAGCGCGAAGATCAGGCCGAACACCACCAGCGTGACGAAGTTCTCCACGCCGATGCCGAACAGCGGCCCGGGCTCCGGGGCGGGGGGCTCCGGCCAGCTCGCGTTGCCCTCGCTGAGGTTCCCGACCGCCAGCTCCATGGCCCGCGGGGCTGTCCCGGCGAGCGGCGGGGCGCGCGGGGAGGGAGGGCGGGATAGTAGGCGCCGGGGGTGGCCAGGGGTCCCGGCGCAAAGCACGGAGAGTGCGAGTTTAGGAGTCTGAGCTTCCCCCGAGGCGCGAGCCAGCGGGAGCGGGGATCCGGTGGCCGTGCCTGGTGGCACCGTCTTTGCGCCGGGACCTTCTGAGAGAGGGTGGGTTCGGGAGCCCGGAGCTGGACCTTCTCGGGAAGGGACGGTGATCTCGAGAGCACTGGGGTCCCCTTCCCGGGCGCCTCCGCCCGCTGCGCGACCACGGAGCCTGGGAAGAGGGATCCGCCGGCTGCAGCCGCGCAGGTGGAAAGACCCTTCTCTCCGCCTTACCGCTCCAGATCTTCGCCGGCGGTTTTCCCTGGCTCCCGGAGGGGCTGCGTGCTGCACCTGTTGCTCGGAGCCGCTCCTTCCCGCGGCGCTTCCCCGCACTGCCCAGCGCGCAGCAGTGCACTGTGCGGCTCCTGCAGAGAAGGCTCCCCGCGCATCCCGCGCGCCCAGCGCCACCTCCCCAGTGGGCTGGCGCCTCCGACTCCCTCCCGGCTTTTCCAGGGATTCCGAGTCGTCCACAGGGCGAGAGCTCTTTTGGGAGGCTTCCTGGTGGTGGATAGAGTCGGGTGCCAGGGGCTTCTCTGCTGCAACTGAGAGGCGAAAACAGCTCGGCTGAAATCCGCGCCCCTTAGAAGTCACGGTGCGCGAGCAGAGACTGGACGGATTCTAGCGGGATGGGTCGCCGCCCACCTCCCGGCTGGAACCGGAGCGCGCTCGCCTCTGC